>NC_000023.11:62068100-62107293 GCF_000001405.40 Homo sapiens | reverse complement strand
GTAGCACCCTCAGAAAATTCTCCTCCTCCTCCTCCTCCTCCTCCTCTTCCTCCTCCTCCCACTCTTCCTCAGCCAACTCAATGGGAATGCCAGGGTAAAGACCTTTTTGAGAATCCACTTCCACTTAATGAATAGTAAATATATTTTCTCTTCCTTATGATTTTCTTAATAACATTTCCTTTTCTCTAGCTTACTTTATTGTAAGAATATATAATAGTATATAGTACATAAAACATAAAATATGTGTTAAATGACTGTTTATGTTATACCTTCTAGTTTTTATATGAAGTTCTTTCCTTTACTACCACAGGCCTCAAAGTGGTCCAAATCTCCACTTGCAGATTCTACAAAAAGAGTGTTTGCAAACTGCTCTATCAAAAGGAATGTTCAACTCTGGGAGTTGAATGCAATCATCACAGAGCAGTTTCTGAGAATGCTTCTATGTCGTTTTTAGGAGAAGATATTTCCTTTTCCAACACAGTCCTCCAAGCCCGCTAAATATCCACTTGCACATTGTAGAAAAAGTGTGTCGAAGCTGCGCTATCAAAGGGAAAGTTCAACTCTGTGAGGTGAATGCAAACATCCCAAAGAAGTTTCTGAGAATGCTTCCGTTTAGCTTTTAGGTGAAGATTATCCCGTTTCCAACGAAACCTTCAAAGAGGTCCAAATATCCCCTTGCGGATCCCACAGAAAGAGTGTTTCGAAACTGCTGTTTCAAAAGGAATCTTCAACTCTGTGAGTTGAATGCAATCATCACAAAGAAGTTTCTGACAATGCTTCTCTCTCGTCTTTCTGTGAAGATAAAGGAAAAGGCTTTCAGGCCTTTTCCACCACAGGCCTGAAAGCGCTCCAAATGTCCACTTGCAGATTCTGCCAAAAGAATATTTCAAAACTGCTCTATGAAAAGCAATGTTAAACTCTGTCGCTCGAACACAAACATCACAAAGCAGTTTCTGAGAATGCTTCAGTTTAGTTTTTCTGTGGAAATATTCCCGTTTCCAAAGAAATCTTCAAAGAGGTCCACGTATCCACTTACAGATTCTACAAAAAGACAGTTTCAAAACTGCTCCATCAAAAGGAGGGTTCAACTGTGTGACTTGAATGCAATCATCACTCAGAAGTTTCTGAGAATGCTTCTCTTTAGTTTTTACGTGAACATATACCCGTTTCGAACGAAGGCCACCCAGTGGTCCAAATATCCACTTGCAGATTCTACAGAAAGAGTGTTTCGAACCTGAACTCTCAAAGGCAGGTTCATCTCTGCGAGTTAAATGCATTCATCATGAAGAACTTTCTCAGCGTGTTTGTGTTTAGTTATGGGAAATTATTCCCGTTTCCAACGAAATCCTCAGAGAGCTCCAAATATCCACCTGCAGATTCTACCAAAAGTGTATTTGGAAACTGCTCCATCAAAAGGCATGTTCAGCTCTGTCAGTGAAACTCCATCATCACAAAGAATATTCTGAGAATGCTTCCCGTTTGCCTTTTATATGAAGTTCCTTCCTGTACTACCGTAGGCCTCAAAGCAGTCCAAATCTCCATTTGCAGATTCTATAAAAAGAGTGATTCCAATCTGCTCTATCAATAGGATTGTTCAACTCCATGAGTTGAATGCCATCCTCACAAAGTAGTTTCTGAGAATGCTTCTATCTAGTTTTTATGTGAAGGTATTTCCTTTTCCACCACAGGCCTCCAAGCCCTCCAAACGTCCACTTGCAGATTCTCGAAAAAGAGTGTTTCATAGCTGCTCTTTCAAAAGGAAAGTTCAACTCTGGGAGTTGAATACAAACATCACAAAGTAGTTTCCGAGAATGCTTCTGTTTAGTTTTTATGTGAAGATGATCCCGTTTCCAGTGAAATCTTCAAAGAGGTCCACATATCCCCTTGCAGATTCCAAAGAAAGAGGGTTTCAAAACTGCTCCATCAGAAGGATTGTTCAACTCTGTGAGTTGAATGCAGTCATCGCATAAAACTTTCTGAGAATGCTTCTGTCTAGGTTTGATGTGAAGATATAGACGTTTCAAACGAAGGCTACAAAGTGGTCAAAATATACACTTGCAGATTCTACTACAAGGGTGTTGCAAACCTGAACTATCAAAGGAAGGTTCAACTCTGTGAGTTGAATACAAACATCACAAAGAATGTTCTGAGTTTGCTTCCGTTCAGTTATGGGAAGTTGATCCCGTTTCCAACGAAATCCTCAGAGAGGTCCAAATATCCCCTTGCAGATTCTGCAAAACGTGTGTTTGGAAACTGCTCCATCATAACGAATGTTCAGCTCTCTGAGTTAAACTCCATCGTCACAAAGAATTTTCTGAGAGTGCTACCGTCTAGTTTTTATATGAAGTTCTTTCCTTTACTACCACAGGCCTCAAAGCGGTCCAAATCTCCACTTGCAGATTCTACAAAAAGAGTGTTTGCAAACTGCTCTATCAAAAGGAATGTTCAACTCTGGGAGTTGAATGCAATCATCACAGAGCAGTTTCTGAGAATGCTTCTATGTCGTTTTTAGGAGAAGATATTTCCTTTTCCAACACAGTCCTCCAAGCCCGCTAAATATCCACTTGCACATTGTAGAAAAAGTGTGTCGAAGCTGCGCTATCAAAGGGAAAATTCAACTCTGTGAGGTGAATGCAAACTTCCCAAAGAAGTTTCTGAGAATGCTTCCGTTTAGCTTTTAGGTGAAGATTATCCCGTTTCCAACGAAACCTTCAAAGAAGTCCAAATATCCCCTTGCGGATCCCACAGAAAGAGTGTTTCGAAACTGCTGTTTCAAAAGGAATCTTCAACTCTGTGAGTTGAATGCAATCATCACAAAGAAGTTTCTGACAATGCTTCTTCTCTCTCGCCTTTCTGTGAAGATAAAGGAAAAGGCTTTCAGGCCTGTTCCACCACAGGCCTGAAAGCGCTCCAAATGTCCACTTGCAGATTCTGCGAAAAGAATATTTCAAAACTGCTCTATGAAAAGCAATGTTAAACTCTGTGGCTGGAACACAAACATCACAAAGCGGTTTCTGAGAATGTTTCAGTTTAGTTTTTCTGTGGAAATATTCCCGTTTCCAAAGAAATCTTCAAAGAGGTCCACGTATCCACTTACAGATTCTACAAAAAGACAGTTTCAAAACTGCTCCATCAAAAGGAGGGTTCAACCGTGTGACTTGAATGCAATCATCACTCAGAAGTTTCTGAGAATGCTTCTCTTTAGTTTTTACTGTGAACATATACCCGTTTCGAACGAAGGCCACCCAGTGGTCCAAATATCCACTTGCAGATTCTACAGAAAGAGTGTTTCGAACCTGAACTCTCAAAGGCAGGTTCATCTCTGCGAGTTAAATGCATTCATCATGAAGAACTTTCTCAGAGTGTTTGTGTTTAGTTATGGGAAATTATTCCCGTTTCCAACGAAATCCTCAGAGAGCTCCAAATATCCACCTGCAGATTCTACCAAAAGTGTATTTGGAAACTGCTCCATCAAAAGGCATGTTCAGCTCTGTGAGTGAAACTCCATCATCACAAAGAATATTCTGAGAATGCTTCCGTTTGCCTTTTATATGAAGTTCCTTCCTATACGACCGTAGGCCTCAAGCAGTCCAAATCTCCATTTGCAGATTCTACAAAAAGAGTGATTCCAATCTGCTCTATCAATAGGATTGTTCAACTCCATGAGTTGAATGCCATCCTCACAAAGTCGTTTCTGAGAATGCTTCTATCTAGTTTTTATGTGAAGATATTTCCTTTTCCACCACAGGCCTCAAAGCCCTCCAAACGTCCACTTGCAGATTCTCGAAAAAGAGTGTTTCATAGCTGCTCTTTCAAAAGGAAAGTTCAACTCTGGGAGTTGAATACAAACATCACAAAGTAGTTTCCGAGAATGCTTCTGTTTAGTTCTTATGTGAAGATGATCCCGTTTCCAGTGAAATCTTCAAAGAGGTCCACATATCCTCTTGCAGATTCCAAAGAAAGAGGGTTTCAAAACTGCTCCATCAAAAGGATTGTTCAAATCTGTGAGTTGAATGCACTCATCGCAGAAAACTTTCTGAGAATGCTTCTGTCTAGGTTTGATGTGAAGATATAGACGTTTCAAACGAAGGCTACAAAGTGGTCAAAATATACACTTGCAGATTCTACTACAAGGGTGTTGCAAACCTGAACTATCAAAGGAAGGTTCAACTCTGTGAGTTGAATACAAACATCACAAAGAATGTTCTGAGTTTGCTTCCGTTCAGTTATGGGAAGTTGATCCCGTTTCCAACGAAATCCTCAGAGAGGTCCAAATATCCCCTTGCAGATTCTACAAAACGTGTGTTTGGAAACTGCTCCATCATAACGAATGTTCAGCTCTCTGAGTTAAACTCCATCGTCACAAAAAATTTTCTGAGAGTGCTACCGTCTACTTTTTATATGAAGTTCTTTCCTTTACTACCACAGGCCTCAAAGCGGTCCAAATCTCCACTTGCAGATTCTACAAAAAGAGTGTTTGCAAATTGCTCTATCAAAAGGAATGTTCAACTCTGGGAGTTGAATGCAATCATCACAGAGCAGTTTCTGAGAATGCTTCTATGACGTTTTTAGGAGAAGATATTTCCTTTTCCAACACAGTCCTCCAAGCCCGCTAAATATCCACTTGCACATTGTAGAAAAAGTGTGTCGAAGCTGCGCTATCAAAGGGAAAGTTCAACTCTGTGAGGTGAATGCAAACATCCCAAAGAAGTTTCTGAGAATGCTTCCGTTTAGCTTTTAGGTGAAGATTATCCCGTTTCCAACGAAATCTTCAAAGAGGTCCAAATATCCCCTTGCGGATCCCACAGAAAGAGTGTTTCGAAACTGCTGTTACAAAAGGAATCTTCAACTCTGTGAGTTGAATGCAATCATCACAAAGAAGTTTCTGACAATGCTTCTCTCTCGTCTTTCTGTGAAGATAAAGGAAAAGGCTTTCAGGCCTTTTCCACCACAGGCCTGAAAGCGCTCCAAATGTCCACTTGCAGATTCTGCCAAAAGAATATTTCAAAACTGCTCTATGAAAAGCAATGTTAAACTCTGCGGCTCGAACACCAACATCACAAAGCAGTTTCTGAGAATGCTTCAGTTTAGTTTTTCTGTGGAAATATTCCCGTTTCCAAAGAAATCTTCCAAGAGGTCCACGTATCCACTTACAGATTCTACAAAAAGACAGTTTCAAAACTGCTCAATCAAAAGGCGGGTTCAACTGTGCGACTTGAATGCAATCATCACTCAGAAGTTTCTGAGAATGCTTCTCTTTAGTTTTTACGTGAACATATATCCGTTTCGAACGAAGGCCACCCAGTGGTCCAAATATCCACTTGCAGATTCTACAGAAAGAGTGTTTCGAACCTGAACTCTCAAAGGCAGGTTCATCTCTGCGAGTTAAATGCATTCATCATGAAGAACTTTCTCAGAGTGTTTGTGTTTAGTTATGGGAAATTATTCCCGTTTCCAACGAAATCCTCAGAGAGCTCCAAATATCCACCTGCAGATTCTACCAAAAGTGTATTTGGAAACTGCTCCATCAAAAGGCATGTTCAGCTCTGTGAGTGAAACTCCATCATCACAAAGAATATTCTGAGAATGCTTCCGTTTGCCTTTTATATGAAGTTCCTTCCTATACTACCGTAGGCCTCAAAGCAGTCCAAATCTCCATTTGCAGATTCTACAAAAAGAGTGATTCCAATCTGCTCTATCAATAGGATTGTTCAACTCCATGAGTTGAATGCCATCCTCACAAAGTCGTTTCTGAGAATGCTTCTATCTAGTTTTTATGTGAAGATATTTCCTTTTCCACCACAGGCCTCAAAGCCCTCCAAACGTCCACTTGCAGATTCTCGAAAAAGAGTGTTTCATAGCTGCTCTTTCAAAAGGAAAGTTCAACTCTGGGAGTTGAATACAAACATCACAAAGTAGTTTCCGAGAATGCTTCTGTTTAGTTTTTATGTGAAGATGATCCCGTTTCCAGTGAAATCTTCAAAGAGGTCCACATATCCCCTTGCAGATTCCAAAGAAAGAGGGTTTCAAAACTGCTCCATCAAAAGGATTGTTCAACTCTGTGAGTTGAATGCAGTCATCGCAGAAAACTTTCTGAGAATGCTTCTGTCTAGGTTTGAGGTGAAGATATAGACGTTTCAAACGAAGGCTACAAAGTGGTCAAAATATACACTTGCAGATTCTACTACAAGGGTGTTGCAAACCTGAACTATCAAAGGAAGGTTCAACTCTGTGAGTTGAATACAAACATCACAAAGAATGTTCTGAGTTTGCTACCGTTCAGTTATGGGAAGTTGATCCCGTTTCCAACGAAATCCTCAGAGAGGTCCAAATATCCCCTTGCAGATTCTACAAAACGTGTGTTTGGAAACTGCTCCATCATAACGAATGTTCAGCTCTCTGAGTTAAACTCCATCGTCACAAAGAATTTTCTGAGAGTGCTACCGTCTGGTTTTTATATGAAGTTCTTTCCTTTACTACCACAGGCCTCAAAGCGGTCCAAATCTCCACTTGCAGATTCTACAAAAAGAGTGTTTGCAAACTGCTCTATCAAAAGGAATGTTCAACTCTGGGAGTTGAATGCAATCATCACAGAGCAGTTTCTGAGAATGCTTCTATGTCGTTTTTAGGAGAAGATATTTCCTTTTCCAACACAGTCCTCCAAGTCCGCTAAATAGCCACTTGCACATTGTAGAAAAAGTGTGTCAAAGCTGCGCTATCAAAGGGAAAGTTCAACTCTGAGAGGTGAATGCAAACATCCCAAAGAAGTTTCTGAGAGTGCTTCCGTTTAGCTTTTAGGTGAAGATTATCCCGTTTCCAACGAAACCTTCAAAGAAGTCCAAATATCCCCTTGCGGATCCCACAGAAAGAGTGTTTCGAAACTGCTGTTTCAAAAGGAATCTTCAACTCTGTGAGTTGAATGCAATCATCACAAAGAAGTTTCTGACAATGCTTCTCTCTCGTCTTTCTGTGAAGATAAATAAATGCTTTCAGGCCTTTGCCACCACAGGCCTGAAAGCGCTCCAAATGTCCACTTGCAGATTCTGCCAAAAGAATATTTCAAAACTGCTTTGTGAAAAGCAATGTTAAACTCTGTGGCTCGAACACAAACATCACAAAGCGGTTTCTGAGAATGCTTCAGTTTAGTTTTTCTGTGGAAATATTCCCGTTTCCAAAGAAATCTTCAAAGAGGTCCACGTATCCACTTACAGATTCTACAAAAAGACAGTTTCAAAACTGCTCCATCAAAAGGAGGGTTCAACTGTGTGACTTGAATGCAATCATCACTCAGAAGTTTCTGAGAATGCTTCTCTTTAGTTTTTACGTGAACATATACCCGTTTCGAACGAAGGCCACCCAGTGGTCCAAATATCCACTTGCAGATTCTACAGAAAGAGTGTTTCGAACCTGAACTCTCAAAGGCAGGTTCATCTCTGCGAGTTAAATGCATTCATCATGAAGAACGTTCTCAGAGTGTTTGTGTTTAGGTATGGGAAATTATTCCCGTTTCCAACGAAATCCTCAGAGAGGTCCAAATATCCACCTGCAGATTCTACCAAAAGTGTATTTGGAAACTGCTCCATCAAAAGGCATGTTCAGCTCTGTGAGTGAAACTCCATCGTCACAAAGAATATTCTGAGAATGCTTCCGTTTGCCTTTTATATGAAGTTCCTTCCTATACTACCGTAGGCCTCAAAGCAGTCCAAATCTCCATTTGCAGATTCTACAAAAAGAGTGATTCCATTCTGCTCTATCAATAGGATTGTTCAACTCCATGAGTTGAATGCCATCCTCACAAAGTCGTTTCTGAGAATGCTTCTATCTAGTTTTTATGTGAAGATATTTCCTTTTCCACCACAGGCCTCAAAGCCCTCCAAACGTCCACTTGCAGATTCTCGAAAAAGAGTGTTTCATAGCTGCTCTTTCAAAAGGAAAGTTCAACTCTGGGAGTTGAATACAAACATCACAAAGTAGTTTCCGAGAATGCTTCTGTTTAGTTCTTATGTGAAGATGATCCCGTTTCCAGTGAAATCTTCAAAGAGGTCCACATATCCCCTTGCAGATTCCAAAGAAAGAGGGTTTCAAAACTGCTCCATCAAAAGGATTGTTCAACTCTGTGAGTTGAATGCAGTCATCGCAGAAAACTTTCTGAGAATGCTTCTTTCTAGGTTTGATGTGAAGATATAGACGTTTCAAACGAAGGCTACAAAGTGGTCAAAATATACACTTGCAGATTCTACTACAAGGGTGTTGCAAACCTGAACTATCAAAGGAAGGTTCAACTCTGTGAGTTGAATACAAACATCACAAAGAATGTTCTGAGTTTGCTTCCGTTCAGTTATGGGAAGTTGATCCCTTTTCCAACGAAATCCTCAGAGAGGTCCAAATATCCCCTCGCAGATTCTACAAAACGTGTGTTTGGAAACTGCTCCATCATAACGAATGTTCAGCTCCCTGAGTTAAACTCCATCGTCACAAAGAATTTTCTGAGAGTGCTACCGTCTGGTTTTTATATGAAGTTCTTTCCTTCACTACCACAGGCCTCAAAGCGGTCCAAATCTCCACTTGCAGATTCTACAAAAAGAGTGTTTGCAAACTGCTCTATCAAAAGGAATGTTCAACTCTGGGAGTTGAATGCAATCATCACAGAGCAGTTTCTGAGAATGCTTCTATGTCGTTTTTAGGAGAAGATATTTCCTTTTCCAACACAGTCCTCCAAGCCCGCTAAATAGCCACTTGCACATTGTAGAAAAAGTGTGTCAAAGCTGCGCTATCAAAGGGAAAGTTCAACTCTGTGAGGTGAATGCAAACATCCCAAAGAAGTTTCTGAGAATGCTTCCGTTTAGCTTTTAGGTGAAGATTATCCCGTTTCCAACGAAACCTTCAAAGAGGTCCAAATATCCCCTTGCGGATCCCACAGAAAGAGTGTTTCGAAACTGCTGTTTCAAAAGGAAAATCAACTCTGTGAGTTGAATGCAATCATCACAAAGAAGTTTCTGACAATGCTTCTCTCTCGTCTTTCTGTGAAGATAAAGGAAAAGGCTTTCAGGCCTTTTCCACCACAGGCCTGAAAGCAGCTCCAAATGTCCACTTGCAGATTCTGCGAAAAGAATATTTCAAAACTGCTCTATGAAAAGCAATGTTAAACTCTGCGGCTCGAACACAAACATCACAAAGCGGTTTCTGAGAATGCTTCAGTTTAGTTTTTCTGTGGAAATATTCCCGTTTCCAAAGAAATCTTCAAAGAGGTCCACGTATCCACTTACAGATTCTACAAAAAGACAGTTTCAAAACTGCTCCATCAAAAGGAGGGTTCAACTGTGTGACTTGAATGCAATCATCACTCAGAAGTTTCTGAGAATGCTTCTCTTTAGTTTTTACGTGAACATATACCCGTTTCGAACGAAGGCCACCCAGTGGTCCAAATATCCACTTGCAGATTCTACAGAAAGAGTGTTTCGAACCTGAACTCTCAAAGGCAGGTTCATCTCTGCGAGTTAAATGCATTCATCATGAAGAACTTTCTCAGAGTGTTTGTGTTTAGTTATGGGAAATTATTCCCGTTTCCAACGAAATCCTCAGAGAGGTCCAAATATCCACCTGCAGATTCTACCAAAAGTGTATTTGGAAACTGCTCCATCAAAAGGCATGTTCAGCTCTGTGAGTGAAACTCCATCATCACAAAGAATATTCTGAGAATGCTTCCGTTTGCCTTTTATATGAAGTTCCTTCCTATACTACCGTAGGCCTCAAAGCAGTCCAAATCTCCATTTGCAGATTCTACAAAAAGAGTGATTCCAATCTGCTCTATCAATAGGATTGTTCAACTCCATGAGTTGAATGCCATCCTCACAAAGTCGTTTCTGAGAATGCTTCTATCTAGTTTTTATGTGAAGATATTTCCTTTTCCACCACAGGCCTCAAAGCCCTCCAAACGTCCACTTGCAGATTCTCGAAAAAGTGTGTTTCATAGCTGCTATTTCAAAAGGAAATTTCAACTCTGGGAGGTGAATACAAACATCACAAAGTAGTTTCCGAGAATGCTTCTGTTTAGTTCTTATGTGAAGATGATCCCGTTTCCAGTGAAATCTTCAAAGAGGTCCACATATCACCTTGCAGATTCCAAAGAAAGAGGGTTTCAAAACTGCTCCATCAAAAGGATTGTTCAACTCTGTGAGTTGAATGCAGTCATCGCAGAAAACTTTCTGAGAATGCTTCTGTCTAGGTTTGATGTGAAGATATAGACGTTTCAAACGAAGGCTACAAAGTGGTCAACATATACACTTGCAGATTCTACTACAAGGGTGATGCAAACCTGAACTATCAAAGGAAGGTTCAACTCTGTGAGTTGAATACAAACATCACAAAGAATGTTCTGAGTTTGCTTCCGTTCAGTTATGGGCAGTTGATCCCGTTTCCAGCGAAATCCTCAGAGAGGTCCAAATATCCCCTTGCAGATTCTACAAAACGTGTGTTTGGAAACTGCTCCATCATAACGAATGTTCAGCTCCCTGAGTTAAACTCCATCGTCACAAAGAATTTTGCTGAGAGTGCTACCGTCTAGTTTTTATATGAAGTTCTTTCCTTTACTACCACAGGCCTCAAAGCGGTCCAAATCTCCACTTGCAGATTCTACAAAAAGAGTGTTTGCAAACTGCTCTATCAAAAGGAATGTTCAACTCTGGGAGTTGAATGCAATCATCACAGAGCAGTTTCTGAGAATGCTTCTATGTCGTTTTTAGGAGAAGATATTTCCTTTTCCAACACAGTCCTCCAAGCCCGCTAAATAGCCACTTGCACATTGTAGAAAAAGTGTGTCAAAGCTGCGCTATCAAAGGGAAAGTTCAACTCTGAGAGGTGAATGCAAACATCCCAAAGAAGTTTCTGAGAGTGCTTCCGTTTAGCTTTTAGGTGAAGATTATCCCGTTTCCAACGAAACCTTCAAAGAGGTCCAAATATCCCCTTGCGGATCCCACAGAAAGAGTGTTTCGAAACTGCTGTTTCAAAAGGAATCTTCAACTCTGTGAGTTGAATGCAATCATCACAAAGAAGTTTCTGACAATGCTTCTCTCTCGTCTTTCTGTGAAGATAAAGGAAAAGGCTTTCAGGCCTTTTCCACCACAGGCCTGAAAGCGCTCCAAATGTCCACTTGCAGATTCTGCCAAAAGAATATTTCAAAACTGCTCTATGAAAAGCAATGTTAAACTCTGTGGCTCGAACACAAACATCACAAAGCAGTTTCTGAGAATGCTTCAGTTTAGTTTTTCTGTGGAAATATTCCCGTTTCCAAAGAAATCTTCAAAGAGGTCCACGTATCCACTTACAGATTCTACAAAAAGACAGTTTCAAAACTGCTCCATCAAAAGGAGGGTTCAACTGTGTGACTTGAATGCAATCATCACTCAGAAGTTTCTGAGAATGCTTCTCTTTAGTTTTTACGTGAACATATACCCGTTTCGAACGAAGGCCAGCCAGTGGTCCAAATATCCACTTGCAGATTCTACAGAAAGAGTGTTTCGAACCTGAACTCTCAAAGGCAGGTTCATCTCTGCGAGTTAAATGCATTCATCATGAAGAACTTTCTCAGCGTGTTTGTGTTTAGTTATGGGAAATTATTCCAGTTTCCAACGAAATCCTCAGAGAGCTCCAAATATCCACCTGCAGATTCTACCAAAAGTGTATTTGGAAACTGCTCCATCAAAAGGCATGTTCAGCTCTGTGAGTGAAACTCCATCATCACAAAGAATATTCTGAGAATGCTTCCGTTTGCCTTTTATATGAAGTTCCTTCCTATACGACCGTAGGCCTCAAAGCAGTCCAAATCTCCATTTGCAGATTCTACAAAAAGAGTGATTCCAATCTGCTCTATCAATAGGATTGTTCAACTCCATGAGTTGAATGCCATCCTCACAAAGTCGTTTCTGAGAATGCTTCTATCTGGTTTTTGTGTGAAGATATTTCCTTTTCCACCACAGACCTCAAAGCCCTCCAAACGTCCACTTGCAGATTCTCGAAAAAGAGTGTTTCATAGCTGCTCTTTCAAAAGGAAAGTTCAACTCTGGGAGTTGAATACAAACATCACAAACTAGTTTCCGAGAATGCTTCTGTTTAGTTTTTATGTGAAGATGATCCCGTTTCCAGTGAAATCTTCAAAGAGGTCCACATATCCCCTTGCAGATTCCAAAGAAAGAGGGTTTCAAAACTGCTCCATCAGAAGGATTGTTCAACTCTGTGAGTTGAATGCAGTCATCGCAGAAAACTTTCTGAGAATGCTTCTGTCTAGGTTTGATGTGAAGATATAGACGTTTCAAACGAAGGCTACAAAGTGGTCAAAATATACACTTGCAGATTCTACTACAAGGGTGTTGCAAACCTGAACTATGAAAGGAAGGTTCAACTCTGTGAGTTGAATACAAACATCACAAAGAATGTTCTGAGTTTGCTTCCGTTCAGTTATGGGAAGTTGATCCCGTTTCCAACGAAATCCTCAGAGAGGTCCAAATATCCACTTGCAGATTCTACAAAACGTGTGTTTGGAAACTGCTCCATCATAACGAATGTTCAGCTCCCTGAGTTAAACTCCATCGTCACAAAGAATTTTCTGAGAGTGCTACCGTCTGGTTTTTATATGAAGTTCTTTCCTTCACTACCACAGGCCTCAAAGCGGTCCAAATCTCCACTTGCAGATTCTACAAAAAGAGTGTTTGCAAACTGCTCTATCAAAAGGAATGTTCAACTCTGGGAGTTGAATGCAATCATCACAGAGCAGTTTCTGAGAATGCTTCTATGTCGTTTTTAGGAGAAGATATTTCCTTTTCCAACACAGTCCTCCAAGCCCGCTAAATAGCCACTTGCACATTGTAGAAAAAGTGTGTCAAAGCTGCGCTATCAAAGGGAAAGTTCAACTCTGTGAGGTGAATGCAAACATCCCAAAGAAGTTTCTGAGAATGCTTCCGTTTAGCTTTTAGGTGAAGATTATCCCGTTTCCAACGAAACCTTCAAAGAGGTCCAAATATCCCCTTGCGGATCCCACAGAAAGAGTGTTTCGAAACTGCTGTTTCAAAAGGAATCTTCAACTCTGTGAGTTGAATGCAATCATCACAAAGAAGTTTCTGACAATGCTTCTCTCTCGTCTTTCTGTGAAGATAAAGGAAAAGGCTTTCAGGCCTTTGCCACCACAGGCCTGAAAGCGCTCCAAATGTCCACTTGCAGATTCTGCGAAAAGAATATTTCAAAACTGCTCTATGAAAAGCAATGTTAAACTCTGTGGCTCGAACACAAACATCACAAAGCAGTTTCTGAGAATGCTTCAGTTTAGTTTTTCTGTGGAAATATTCCCGTTTCCAAAGAAATCTTCAAAGAGGTCCACGTATCCACTTACAGACTCTACAAAAAGACAGTTTCAAAACTGCTCCATCAAAAGGAGGGTTCAACTGTGTGACTTGAATGCAATCATCACTCAGAAGTTTCTGAGAATGCTTCTCTTTAGTTTTTACGTGAACATATACCCGTTTCGAACGAAGGCCACCCAGTGGTCCAAATATCCACTTGCAGATTCTACAGAAAGAGTGTTTCGAACCTGAACTCTCAAAGGCAGGTTCATCTCTGCGAGTTAAATGCATTCATCATGAAGAACTTTCTCAGAGTGTTTCTGTTTAGTTATGGGAAATTATTCCCGTTTCCAACGAAATCCTCAGAGAGCTCCAAATATCCACCTGCAGATTCTACCAAAAGTGTATTTGGAAACTGCTCCATCAAAAGGCATGTTCAGCTCTGTGAGTGAAACTCCATCAGCACAAAGAATATTCTGAGAATGCTTCCGTTTGCCTTTTATATGAAGTTCCTTCCTATACTACCGTAGGCCTCAAAGCAGTCCAAATCTCCATTTGCAGATTCTACAAAAAGAGTGATTCCAATCTGCTCTATCAATAGGATTGTTGAACTCCATGATTTGAATGCCATCCTCACAAAGTCGTTTGTGAGAATGCTTCTATCTAGTTTTTATGTGAAGATATTTCCTTTTCCACCACAGGCCTCAAAGCCCTCCAAACGTCCACTTGCAGATTCTCGAAAAAGAGTGTTTCATAGCTGCTCTTTCAAAAGGAAAGTTCAACTCTGGGAGTTGAATACAAACATCACAAAGTAGTTTCTGAGAATGCTTCTGTTTAGTTCTTATGTGAAGATGATCCCGTTTCCAGTGAAATCTTCAAAGAGGTCCACATATCCCCTTGCAGATTCCAAAGAAAGAGGGTTTCAAAACTGCTCCATCAAAAGGATTGTTCAACTCTGTGAGTTGAATGCAGTCATCGCAGAAAACTTTCTGAGAATGCTTCTGTCTAGGTTTGATGTGAAGATATAGACGTTTCAAATGAAGGCTACAAAGTGGTCAAAATATACACTTGCAGATTCTACTACAAGGGTGTTGCAAACCTGAACTATCAAAGGAAGGTTCAACTCTGTGAGTTGAATACAAACATCACAAAGAATGTTCTGAGTTTGCTTCCGTTCAGTTATGGGAAGTTGATCCCGTTTCCAACGAAATCCTCAGAGAGGTCCAAATATCCCCTTGCAGATTCTACAAAACGTGTGTTTGGAAACTGCTCCATCATAACGAATGTTCAGCTCCCTGAGTTAAACTCCATCGTCACAAAGAATTTTCTGAGAGTGCTACCGTCTGGTTTTTATATGAAGTTCTTTCCTTCACTACCACAGGCCTCAAAGCGGTCCAAATCTCCACTTGCAGATTCTACAAAAAGAGTGTTTGCAAACTGCTCTATCAAAAGGAATGTTCAACTCTGGGAGTTGAATGCAATCATCACAGAGCAGTTTCTGAGAATGCTTCTATGTCGTTTTTAGGAGAAGATATTTCCTTTTCCAACACAGTCCTCCAAGCCCGCTAAATAGCCACTTGCACATTGTAGAAAAAGTGTGTCAAAGCTGCGCTATCAAAGGGAAAGTTCAACTCTGTGAGGTGAATGCAAACATCCCAAAGAAGTTTCTGAGAGTGCTTCCGTTTAGCTTTTAGGTGAAGATTATCCCGTTTCCAACGAAACCTTCAAAGAAGTCCAAATATCCCCTTGCGGATCCCACAGAAAGAGTGTTTCGAAACTGCTGTTTCAAAAGGAATCTTCAACTCTGTGAGTTGAATGCAATCATCACAAAGAAGTTTCTGACAATGCTTCTCTCTCGTCTTTCTGTGAAGATAAAGGAAAAGGCTTTCAGGCCTTTGCCACCACAGGCCTGAAAACGCTCCAAATGTCCACTTGCAAATTCTGCGAAAAGAATATTTCAAAACTGCTCTATGAAAAGCAATGTTAAACTCTGTGGCTCGAACACAAACATCACAAAGCAGTTTCTGAGAATGCTTCAGTTTAGTTTTTCTGTGGAAATATTCCCGTTTCCAAAGAAATCTTCAAAGAGGTCCACGCATCCACTTACAGATTCTACAAAAAGACAGTTTCAAAACTGCTCCATCAGAAGGAGGGTTCAACTGTGTGACTTGAATGCAATCATCACTCAGAAGTTTCTGAGAATGCTTCTCTTTAGTTTTTACGTGAACATATACCCGTTTCGAACGAAGGCCACCCAGTGGTCCAAATATCCACTTGCAGATTATACAGAAAGAGTGTTTCGAACCTGAACTCTCAAAGGCAGGTTCATCTCTGCGAGTTAAATGCATTCATCATGAAGAACTTTCTCAGAGTGTTTGTGTTTAGTTATGGGAAATTATTCCCGTTTCCAACGAAATCCTCAGAGTGGTCCAAATATCCACCTGCAGATTCTACCAAAAGTGTATTTGGAAACTGCTCCATCAAAAGGCATGTTCAGCTCTGTGAGTGAAACTCCATCATCACAAAGAATATTCTGAGAATGCTTCCGTTTGCCTTTTATCTGAAGTTCCTTCCTATACGACCGTAGGCCTCAAAGCAGTCCAAATCTCCATTTGCAGATTCTACAAAAAGAGTGATTCCAATCTGCTCTATCAATAGGATTGTTCAACTCCATGAGTTGAATGCCATCCTCACAAACTCGTTTCTGAGAATGCTTCTATCTAGTTTTTATGTGAAGATATTTCCTTTTCCACCACAGGCCTCAAAGCCCTCCAAACGTCCACTTGCAGATTCTCGAAAAAGAGTGTTTTATAGCTGCTCTTTCAAAAGGAAAGTTCAACTCTGGGAGTTGAATACAAACATCACAAAGTAGTTTCCGAGAATGCTTCTGTTTAGTTTTTATGTGAAGATGATCCCGTTTCCAGTGAAATCTTCAAAGAGGTCCACATATCCCCTTGCAGATTCCAAAGAAAGAGGGTTTAAAAACTGCTCCATCAGAAGGATTGTTCAACTCTGTGAGTTCAATGCAGTCATCGCAGAAATCTTTCTGAGAATGCTTCTGTCTAGGTTTGATGTGAAGATATAGACGTTTCAAACGAAGGCTACAAAGTGGTCAAAATATACACTTGCAGATTCTACTACAAGGGTGTTGCAAACCTGAACTATCAAAGGAAGGTTCAACTCTGTGAATTGAATACAAACATCACAAAGAATGTTCTGAGTTTGCTTCCGTTCAGTTATGGGAAGTTGATCCCGTTTCCAATGAAATCCTCAGAGAGGTCCAAATATCCCCTTGCAGATTCTACAAAACGTGTGTTTGGAAACTGCTCCATCATAACGAATGTTCAGCTCTCTGAGTTAAACTCCATCGTCACAAAGAATTTTCTGAGAGTGCTACCGTCTGGTTTTTATATGAAGTTCTTTCCTTCACTACCACAGGCCTCAAAGCGGTCCAAATCTCCACTTGCAGATTCTACAAAAAGAGTGTTTGCAAACTGCTCTATCAAAAGGAATGTTCAACTCTGGGAGTTGAATGCAATCATCACAGAGCAGTTTCTGAGAATGCTTCTATGTCGTTTTTAGGAGAAGATATTTCCTTTTCCAACACAGTCCTCCAAGCCCGCTAAATAGCCACTTGCACATTGTAGAAAAAGTGTGTCAAAGCTGCGCTATCAAAGGGAAAGTTCAACTCTGAGAGGTGAATGCAAACATCCCAAAGAAGTTTCTGAGAATGCTTCCGTTTAGCTTTTAGGTGAAGATTATCCCGTTTCCAACGAAACCTTCAAAGAGGTCCAAATATCCCCTTGCGGATCCCACAGAAAGAGTGTTTCGAAACTGCTGTTTCAAAAGGAATCTTCAACTCTGTGGGTTGAATGCAATCATCACAAAGAAGTTTCTGACAATGCTTCTCTCTCGTCTTTCTGTGAAGATAAAGGAAAAGGCTTTCAGGCCTTTTCCACCACAGGCCTGAAAGCGCTCCAAATGTCCACTTGCAGATTCTGCCAAAAGAATATTTCAAAACTGCTCTATGAAAAGCAATGTTAAACTCTGTGGCTCGAACACAAACATCACAAAGCAGTTTCTGAGAATGCTTCAGTTTAGTTTTTCTGTGGAAATATTCCCGTTTCCAAAGAAATCTTCAAAGAGGTCCACGTATCCACTTACAGATTCTACAAAAAGACAGTTTCAAAACTGCTCCATCAAAAGGAGGGTTCAACTGTGTGACTTGAATGCAATCATCACTCAGAAGTTTCTGAGAATGCTTCTCTTTAGTTTTTACGTGAACATATACCCGTTTCGAACGAAGGCCACCCAGTGGTCCAAATATCCACTTGCAGATTCTACAGAAAGAGTGTTTCGAACCTGAACTCTCAAAGGCAGGTTCATCTCTGCGAGTTGAATGCATTCATCATGAAGAACTTTCTCAGAGTGTTTGTGTTTAGTTATGGGAAATTATTCCCGTTTCCAACGAAATCCTCAGAGAGCTCCAAATATCCACCTGCAGATTCTACCAAAAGTGTATTTGGAAACTGCTCCATCAACAGGCATGTTCAGCTCTGTGAATGAAACTCCATCATCACAAAGAATATTCTGAGAATGCTTCCGTTTGCCTTTTATATGAAGTTCCTTCCTATACGACCGTAGGCCTCAAAGCAGTGCAAATCTCCATTTGCAGATTCTACAAAAAGAGTGATTCCAATCTGCTCTATCAATAGGATTGTTCAACTCCATGAGTTGAATGCCATCCTCACAAAGTCGTTTCTGAGAATGCTTCTATCTAGTTTTTATGTGAAGATATTTCCTTTTCCACCACAGGCCTCAAAGCCCTCCAAACGTCCACTTGCAGATTCTCGAAAAAGAGTGTTTCATAGCTGCTCTTTCAAAAGGAAAGTTCAACTCTGGGAGTTGAATACAAACATCACAAAGTAGTTTCCGAGAATGCTTCTGTTTAGTTCTTATGTGAAGATGATCCCGTTTCCAGTGAAATCTTCAAAGAGGTCCACATATCCCCTTGCAGATTCCAAAGAAAGAGGGTTTCAAAACTGCTCCATCAAAAGGATTGTTCAACTCTGTGAGTTGAATGCAGTCATCGCAGAAAACTTTCTGAGAATGCTTCTGTCTAGGTTTGAGGTGAAGATATAGACGTTTCAAACGAAGGCTACAAAGTGGTCAAAATATACACTTGCAGATTCTACTACAAGGGTGTTGCAAACCTGAACTATCAAAGGAAGGTTCAACTCTGTGAGTTGAATACAAACATCACAAAGAATGTTCTGAGTTTGCTTCCGTTCAGTTATGGGAAGTTGATCCCATTTCCAACGAAATCCTCAGAGAGGTCCAAATATCCCCTTGCAGATTCTACAAAACGTGTGTTTGGAAACTGCTCCATCATAACGAATGTTCAGCTCTCTGAGTTAAACTCCATCGTCACAAAGAATTTTCTGAGAGTGCTACCGTCTGGTTTTTATATGAAGTTCTTTCCTTCACTACCACAGGCCTCAAAGCGGTCCAAATCTCCACTTGCAGATTCTACAAAAAGAGTGTTTGCAAACTGCTCTATCAAAAGGAATGTTCAACTCTGGGAGTTGAATGCAATCATCACAGAGCAGTTTCTGAGAATGCTTCTATGTCGTTTTTAGGAGAAGATATTTCCTTTTCCAACACAGTCCTCCAAGCCCGCTAAATAGCCACTTGCACATTGTAGAAAAAGTGTGTCAAAGCTGCGCTATCAAAGGGAAAGTTCAACTCTGTGAGGTGAATGCAAACATCCCAAAGAAGTTTCTGAGAATGCTTCCGTTTAGCTTTTAGGTGAAGATTATCCCGTTTCCAACGAAACCTTCAAAGAGGTCCAAATATCCCCTTGCGGATCCCACAGAAAGAGTGTTTCGAAACTGCTGTTTCAAAAGGAATCTTCAACTCTGTGGGTTGAATGCAATCATCACAAAGAAGTTTCTGACAATGCTTCTCTCTCGTCTTTCTGTGAAGATAAAGGAAAAGGCTTTCAGGCCTTTTCCACCACAGGCCTGAAAGCGCTCCAAATGTCCACTTGCAGATTCTGCCAAAAGAATATTTCAAAACTGCTCTATGAAAAGCAATGTTAAACTCTGTGGCTCGAACACAAACATCACAAAGCGGTTTCTGAGAATGCTTCAGTTTAGTTTTTCTGTGGAAATATTCCCGTTTCCAAAGAAATCTTCAAAGAGGTCCACGTATCCACTTACAGATTCTACAAAAAGACAGTTTCAAAACTGCTCCATCAAAAGGAGGGTTCAACTGTGTGACTTGAATGCAATCATCACTCAGAAGTTTCTGAGAATGCTTCTCTTTAGTTTTTTCGTGAACATATACCCGTTTCGAACGAAGGCCAGCCAGTGGTCCAAATATCCACTTGCAGATTCTACAGAAAGAGTGTTTCGAACATGAACTCTCAAAGGCAGGTTCATCTCTGCGAGTTAAATGCATTCATCATGAAGAACTTTCTCAGAGTGTTTGTGTTTAGTTATGGGAAATTATTCCCGTTTCCAACGAAATCCTCAGAGAGGTCCAAATATCCACCTGCAGATTCTACCAAAAGTGTATTTGGAAACTGCTCCATCAAAAGGCATGTTCAGCTCTGTGAGTGAAACTCCATCATCACAAAGAATATACTGAGAATGCTTCCGTTTGCCTTTTATATGAAGTTCCTTCCTATACGACCGTAGGCCTCAAAGCAGTCCAAATCTCCATTTGCAGATTCTACAAAAAGAGTGATTCCAATCTGCTCTATCAATAGGATTGTTCAACTCCATGAGTTGAATGCCATCCTCACAAAGTCGTTTCTGAGAATGCTTCTATCTAGTTTTTATGTGAAGATATTTCCTTTTCCACCACAGGCCTCAAAGCCCTCCAAACGTCCACTTGCAGATTCTCGAAAAAGAGTGTTTCATAGCTGCTCTTTCAAAAGGAAAGTTCAACTCTGGGAGTTGAATACAAACCTCACAAAGTAGTTTCCGAGAATGCTTCTGTTTAGTTCTTATGTGAAGATGATCCCGTTTCCAGTGAAATCTTGAAAGAGGTCCACATATCCCCTTGCAGATTCCAAAGAAAGAGGGTTTCAAAACTGCTCCATCAAAAGGATTACTCAACTCTATGAGTTGTATGCAGTCATCGCAGAAAACTTTCTGAGAATGCTTCTTTCTAGGTTTGATGTGAAGATATAGACGTTTCAAACGAAGGCTACAAAGTGGTCAAAATATACACTTGCAGATTCTACTACAAGGGTGTTGCAAACCTGAACTATCAAAGGAAGGTTCAACTCTGTGAGTTGAATACAAACATCACAAAGAATGTTCTGAGTTTGCTTCCGTTCAGTTATGGGAAGTTGATCCCGTTTCCAACGAAATCCTCAGAGAGGTCCAAATATCCCCTCGCAGATTCTACAAAACGTGTGTTTGGAAACTGCTCCATCATAACGAATGTTCAGCTCCCTGAGTTAAACTCCATCGTCACAAAGAATTTTCTGAGAGTGCTACCGTCTGGTTTTTATATGAAGTTCTTTCCTTCACTACCACAGGCCTCAAAGCGGTCCAAATCTCCACTTGCAGATTCTACAAAAAGAGTGTTTGCAAACTGCTCTATCAAAAGGAATGTTCAACTCTGGGAGTTGAATGCAATCATCACAGAGCAGTTTCTGAGAATGCTTCTATGTCGTTTTTAGGAGAAGATATTTCCTTTTCCAACACAGTCCTCCAAGCCCGCTAAATAGCCACTTGCACATTGTAGAAAAAGTGTGTCAAAGCTGCGCTATCAAAGGGAAAGTTCAACTCTGTGAGGTGAATGCAAACATCCCAAAGAAGTTTCTGAGAATGCTTCCGTTTAGCTTTTAGGAGAAGATTATCCCGTTTCCAACGAAACCTTCAAAGAGGTCCAAATATCCCCTTGCGGATCCCACAGAAAGAGTGTTTCGAAACTGCTGTTTCAAAAGGAATCTTCAACTCTGTGAGTTGAATGCAATCATCACAAAGAAGTTTCTGACAATGCTTCTCTCTCGTCTTTCTGTGAAGATAAAGGAAAAGGCTTTCAGGCCTTTGCCACCACAGGCCTGAAAGCACTCCAAATGTCCACTTGCAGATTCTGCGAAAAGAATATTTCAAAACTGCTCTATGAAAAGCAATGTTAAACTCTGTGGCTCGAACACAAACATCACAAAGCGGTTTTTGAGAATGTTTCAGTTTAGTTTTTCTGTGGAAATATTCCCGTTTCCAAAGAAATCTTCAAAGAGGTCCACGTATCCACTTACAGATTCTACAAAAAGACAGTTTCAAAACTGCTCCATCAAAAGGAGGGTTCAACTGTGTGACTTGAATGCAATCATCACTCAGAAGTTTCTGAGAATGCTTCTCTTTAGTTTTTACGTGAACATATACCCGTTTCGAACGAAGGCCAGCCAGTGGTCCAAATATCCACTTGCAGATTCTACAGAAGGAGTGTTTCGAACCTGAACTCTCAAAGGCAGGTTCATCTCTGCGAGTTAAATGCATTCATCATGAAGAACTTTCTCAGCGTGTTTGTGTTTAGTTATGGGAAATTATTCCCGTTTCCAACGAAATCCTCAGAGAGCTCCAAATATCCACCTGCAGATTCTACCAAAAGTGTATTTGGAAACTGCTCCATCAAAAGGCATGTTCAGCTCTGTGAGTGAAACTCCATCATCATAAAGAATATTCTTAGAATGCTTCCGTTTGCCTTTTATATGA
This sequence comes from Homo sapiens, assembly GCF_000001405.40. Lineage (NCBI taxonomy): Eukaryota > Metazoa > Chordata > Mammalia > Primates > Hominidae > Homo > Homo sapiens. The sequence goes on along the minus strand of NC_000023.11, from coordinate 62,085,227 downwards.
AGTTCCTTCCTATACGACCGTAGGCCTCAAAGCAGTCCAAATCTCCATTTGCAGATTCTACAAAAAGAGTGATTCCAATCTGCTCTATCAATAGGATTGTTCAACTCCATGAGTTGAATGCCATCCTCACAAAGTCGTTTCTGAGAATGCTTCTATCTAGTTTTTATGTGAAGATATTTCCTTTTCCACCACAGGCCTCAAAGCCCTCCAAGCGTCCACTTGCAGATTCTCGAAAAAGAGTGTTTCATAGCTGCTCTTTCAAAAGGAAAGTTCAAATCTGGCAGTTGAATACAAACATCACAAAGTAGTTTCCGAGAATGCTTCTGTTTAGTTTTTATGTGAAGATGATCCCGTTTCCAGTGAAATCTTCAAAGAGGTCCACATATCCCCTTGCAGATTCCAAAGAAAGAGGGTTTCAAAACTGCTCCATCAGAAGGATTGTTCAACTCTGTGAGTTGAATGCAGTCATCGCAGAAAACTTTCTGAGAATGCTTCTGTCTAGGTTTGATGTGAAGATATAGACGTTTCAAACGAAGGCTACAAAGTGGTCAAAATATACACTTGCAGATTCTACTACAAGGGTGTTGCAAACCTGAACTATCAAAGGAAGGTTCAACTCTGTGAGTTGAATACAAACATCACAAAGAATGTTCTGAGTTTGCTTCCGTTCAGTTATGGGAAGTTGATCCCGTTTCCAACGAAATCCTCAGAGAGGTCCAAATATCCCCTTGCAGATTCTACAAAAGGTGTGTTTGGAAACTGCTCCATCATAACGAATGTTCAGCTCCCTGAGTTAAACTCCATCCTCACAAAGAATTTTCTGAGAGTGCTACCGTATGGTTTTTATATGAAGTTCTTTCCTTCACTACCACAGGCCTCAAAGCGGTCCAAGTCTCCACTTGCAGATTCTACAAAAAGAGTGTTTGCAAACTGCTCTATCAAAAGGAATGTTCAACTCTGGGAGTTGAATGCAATCATCACAGAGCAGTTTCTGAGAATGCTTCTATGTCGTTTTTAGGAGAAGATATTTCCTTTTCCAACACAATCCTCCAAGCCCGCTAAATAGCCACTTGCACATTGTAGAAAAAGTGTGTCAAAGCTGCGCTATCAAAGGGAAAGTTCAACTCTGTGAGGTGAATGCAAACATCCCAAAGAAGTTTCTGAGAATGCTTCCGTTTAGCTTTTAGGTGAAGATTATCCCGTTTCCAACGAAACCTTCAAAGAGGTCCAAATATCCCCTTGCGGATCCCACAGAAAGAGTGTTTCGAAACTGCTGTTTCAAAAGGAATCTTCAACTCTGTGAGTTGAATGCAATCATCACAAAGAAGTTTCTGACAATGCTTCTCTCTCGTCTTTCTGTGAAGATAAAGGAAAAGGCTTTCAGGCCTTTGCCACCACAGGCCTGAAAGCGCTCCAAATGTCCACTTGCAGATTCTGCCAAAAGAATATTTCAAAACTGCTCTATGAAAAGCAATGTTAAACTCTGCGGCTCGAACACAAACATCACAAAGCGGTTTCTGAGAATGCTTCAGTTTAGTTTTTCTGTGGAAATATTCCCGTTTCCAAAGAAATCTTCAAAGAGGTCCACGTATCCACTTACAGATTCTACAAAAAGACAGTTTCAAAACTGCTCCATCAAAAGGAGGGTTCAACTGTGTGACTTGAATGCAATCATCACTCAGAAGTTTCTGAGAATGCTTCTCTTTAGTTTTTACGTGAACATATACCCGTTTCGAACGAAGGCCACCCAGTGGTCCAAATATCCACTTGCAGATTCTACAGAAAGAGTGTTTCGAAACTGAACTCTCAAAGGCAGGTTCATCTCTGCGAGTTAAATGCATTCATCATGAAGAACTTTCTCAGCGTGTTTGTGTTTAGTTATGGGAAATTATTCCCGTTTCCAACGAAATCCTCAAAGAGCTCCAAATATCCACCTGCAGATTCTACCAAAAGTGTATTTGGAAACTGCTCCATCAAAAGGCATGTTCAGCTCTGTCAGTGAAACTCCATCATCACAAAGAATATTCTGAGAATGCTTCCGTTTGCCTTTTATATGAAGTTCCTTCCTGTACTACCGTAGGCCTCAAAGCAGTCCAAATCTCCATTTGCACATTCTACAAAAAGAGTGATTCCAATCTGCTGTATCAATAGGATTGTTCAACTCCATGAGTTGAATGCCATCCTCACAAAGTCGCTTCTGAGAATGCTTCTATCTGGTTTTTGTGTGAAGATATTTCCTTTTCCACCACAGGCCTCAAAGCCCTCCAAACGTCCACTTGCAGATTCTCGAAAAAGAGTGTTTCATAGCTGCTCTTTCAAAAGGAAAGTTCAACTCTGGGAGTTGAATACAAACATCACAAAATAGTTTCCGAGAATGCTTCTGTTTAGTTTTTATGTGAAGATGATCGATCCCGTTTCCAGTGAAATCTTCAAAGAGGTCCACATATCCCCTTGCAGATTCCAAAGAAAGAGGGTTTCAAAACTGCTCCATCAGAAGGATTGTTCAACTCTGTGAGTTGAATGCAGTCATCGCAGAAAACTTTCTGAGAATGCTTCTGTCTAGGTTTGATGTGAAGATATAGACGTTTCAAACGAAGGCTACAAAGTGGTCAAAATATACACTTGCAGATTCTACTACAAGGGTGTTGCAAACCTGAACTATCAAAGGAAGGTTCAACTCTGTGAATTGAATACAAACATCACAAAGAATGTTCTGAGTTTGCTTCCGTTCAGTCATGGGAAGTTGATCCCGTTTCCAACGAAATCCTCAGAGAGGTCCAAATATCCCCTCGCAGATTCTACAAAACGTGTGTTTGGAAACTGCTCCATCATAACGAATGTTCAGCTCCCTGAGTTAAACTCCATCGTCACAAAGAATTTTCTGAGAGTGCTACCGTCTGGTTTTTATATGAAGTTCTTTCCTTCACTACCACAGGCCTCAAAGCGGTCCAAATCTCCACTTGCAGATTCTACAAAAAGAGTGTTTGCAAACTGCTCTATCAAAAGGAATGTTCAACTCTGGGAGTTGAATGCAATCATCACAGAGCAGTTTCTGAGAATGCTTCTATGTCGTTTTTAGGAGAAGATATTTCCTTTTCCAACACAGTCCTCCAAGCCCGCTAAATATCCACTTGCACATTGTAGAAAAAGTGTGTCGAAGCTGCGCTATCAAAGGGAAAGTTCAACTCTGTGAGGTGAATGCAAACATCCCAAAGAAGTTTTCTGAGAATGCTTCCGTTTAGCTTTTAGGAGAAGATTATCCCGTTTCCAACGAAACCTTCAAAGAGGTCCAAATATCCCCTTGCGGATCCCACAGAAAGAGTGTTTCGAAACTGCTGTTTCAAAAGGAATCTTCAACTCTGTGAGTTGAATGCAATCATCACAAAGAAGTTTCTGACAATGCTTCTCTCTCGTCTTTCTGTGAAGATAAAGGAAAAGGCTTTCAGGCCTTTTCCACCACAGGCCTGAAAGCGCTCCAAATGTCCACTTGCAGATTCTGTGAAAAGAATATTTCAAAACTGCTCTATGAAAAGCAATGTTAAACTCTGTGGCTCGAACACAAACATCACAAAGCGGTTTCTGAGAATGCTTCAGTTTAGTTTTTCTGTGGAAATATTCCCGTTTCCAAAGAAATCTTCAAAGAGGTCCACGTATCCACTTACAGATTCTACAAAAAGACAGTTTCAAAACTGCTCCATCAAAAGGAGGGTTCAACCGTGTGACTTGAATGCAATCATCACTCAGAAGTTTCTGAGAATGCTTCTCTTTAGTTTTTACGTGAACATATACCCGTTTCGAACGAAGGCCACCCAGTGGTCCAAATATCCACTTGCAGATTCTACAGAAAGAGTGTTTCGAACCTGAACTCTCAAAGGAAGGTTCATCTCTGCGAGTTAAATGCATTCATCATGAAGAACTTTCTCAGAGTATTTGTGTTTAGTTATGGGAAATTATTCCCGTTTCCAAAGAAATCCTCAGAGAGCTCCAAATATCCACCTGCAGATTCTACCAAAAGTGTATTTGGAAACTGCTCCATCAAAAGGCATGTTCAGCTCTGTGAGTGAAACTCCATCATCACAAAGAATATTCTGAGAATGCTTCCGTTTGCCTTTTATATGAAGTTCCTTCCTGTACTACTGTAGGCCTCAAAGCAGTCCAAATCTCCATTTGCAGATTCTACAAAAAGAGTGATTCCAATCTGCTCTATCAATAGGATTGTTCAACTCCATGAGTTGAATGCCATCCTCACAAAGTAGTTTCTGAGAATGCTTCTATGTACTTTTTAAGTGAAGATATTTCCTTTTCCACCACAGGCCTCAAAGCCCTCCAAACGTCCACTTGCAGATTCCCGAAAAAGAGTGTTTCATAGCTGCTCTTTCAAAAGGAAAGTTCAACTCTGGGAGTTGAATACAAACATCACAAAGTAGTTTCCGAGAATGCTTCTGTTTAGTTTTTATGTGAAGATGATCCCGTTTCCAGTGAAATCTTCAAAGAGGTCCACATATCCCCTTGCAGATTCCAAAGAAAGAGGGTTTCAAAACTGCTCCATCAGAAGGATTGTTCAACTCTGTGAGTTGAATGCAGTCATCGCAGAAAACTTTCTGAGAATGCTTCTGTCTAGGTTTGATGTGAAGTTATAGACGTTTAAAACGAAGGCTACAAAGTGGTCAAAATATACACTTACAGATTCTACTACAAGGGTGTTGCAAACCTGAACTATCAAAGGAAGGTTCAACTCTGTGGGTTGAATACAAACATCGCAAAGAATGTTCTGAGTTTGCTTCCGTTCAGTTATGGGAAGTTGATCCCGTTTACAACGAAATCCTCAGAGAGGTCCAAATATCCCCTTGCAGATTCTTCAAAACGTGTGTTTGGAAACTGCTCCATCATAACGAATGTTCAGCTCCCTGAGTTAAACTCCATCGTCACAAAGAATTTTCTGAGAGTGCTACCGTATGGTTTTTATATGAAGTTCTTTCCTTCACTACCACAGGCCTCAAAGCGGTCCAAGTCTCCACTTGCAGATTCTACAAAAAGAGTGTTTGCAAACTGCTCTATCAAAAGGAATGTTCAACTCTGGGAGTTGAATGCAATCATCACAGAGCAGTTTCTGAGAATGCTTCTATGTCGTTTTTAGGAGAAGATATTTCCTTTTCCAACACAATCCTCCAAGCCCGCTAAATAGCCACTTGCACATTGTAGAAAAAGTGTGTCAAAGCTGCGCTATCAAAGGGAAAGTTCAACTCTGTGAGGTGAATGCAAACATCCCAAAGAAGTTTCTGAGAATGCTTCCGTTTAGCTTTTAGGTGAAGATTATCCCGTTTCCAACGAAACCTTCAAAGAGGTCCAAATATCCCCTTGCGGATCCCACAGAAAGAGTGTTTCGAAACTGCTGTTTCAAAAGGAATCTTCAACTCTGTGAGTTGAATGCAATCATCACAAAGAAGTTTCTGACAATGCTTCTCTCTCGTCTTTCTGTGAAGATAAATAAATGCTTTCAGGCCTTTGCCACCACAGGCCTGAAAGCGCTCCAAATGTCCACTTGCAGATTCTGCCAAAAGAATATTTCAAAACTGCTTTGTGAAAAGCAATGTTAAACTCTGTGGCTCGAACACAAACATCACAAAGCGGTTTCTGAGAATGCTTCAGTTTAGTTTTTCTGTGGAAATATTCCCGTTTCCAAAGAAATCTTCAAAGAGGTCCACGTATCCACTTACAGATTCTACAAAAAGACAGTTTCAAAACTGCTCCATCAAAAGGAGGGTTCAACTGTGTGACTTGAATGCAATCATCACTCAGAAGTTTCTGAGAATGCTTCTCTTTAGTTTTTACGTGAACATATACCCGTTTTGAACGAAGGCCACCCAGTGGTCCAAATATCCACTTGCAGATTCTACAGAAAGAGTGTTTCGAACCTGAACTCTCAAAGGCAGGTTCATCTCTGCGAGTTCAATGCATTCATCATGAAGAACTTTCTCAGAGTGTTTGTGTTTAGTTATGGGAAATTATTCCCGTTTCCAACGAAATCCTCAGAGAGCTCCAAATATCCACCTGCAGATTCTACCAAAAGTGTATTTGGAAACTGCTCCATCAAAAGGCATGTTCAGCTCTGTGAGTGAAACTCCATCATCACAAAGAATATTCTGAGAATGCTTCCGTTTGCCTTTTATATGAAGTTCCTTCCTATACGACCGTAGGCCTCAAAGCAGTCCAAATCTCCATTTGCAGATTCTACAAAAAGAGTGATTCCAATCTGCTCTATCAATAGGATTGTTCAACTCCATGAGTTGAATGCCATCCTCACAAAGTCGTTTCTGAGAATGCTTCTATCTAGTTTTTATGTGAAGATATTTCCTTTTCCACCACAGGCCTCAAAGCCCTCCAAACGTCCACTTGCAGATTCTCGAAAAGGAGTGTTTCATAGCTGCTCTTTCAAAAGGAAAGTTCAACTCTGGGAGTTGAATACAAACATCACAAAGTAGTTTCCGAGAATGCTTCTGTTTAGTTTTTATGTGAAGATGATCCCGTTTCCAGTGAAATCTTCAAAGAGGTCCACATATCCCCTTGCAGATTCCAAAGAAAGAGGGTTTCAAAACTGCTCCATCAGAAGGATTGTTCAACTCTGTGAGTTGAATGCAGTCATCGCAGAAAACTTTCTGAGAATGCTTCTGTCTAGGTTTGAGGTGAAGATATAGACGTTTCAAACGAAGGCTACAAAGTGGTCAAAATATACACTTGCAGATTCTACTACAAGGGTGTTGCAAACCTCAACTATCAAAGGAAGGTTCAACTCTGTGAGTTGAATACAAACATCACAAAGAATGTTCTGAGTTTGCTTCCGTTCAGTTATGGGAAGTTGATCCCGTTTCCAACGAAATCCTCAGAGAGGTCGAAATATCCCCTCGCAGATTCTACAAAACGTGTGTTTGGAAACTGCTCCATCATAACGAATGTTCAGCTCCCTGAGTTAAACTCCATCGTCACAAAGAATTTTCTGAGAGTGCTACCGTCTGGTTTTTATATGAAGTTCTTTCCTTCACTACCACAGGCCTCAAAGCGGTCCAAATCTCCACTTGCAGATTCTACAAAAAGAGTGTTTGCAAACTGCTCTATCAAAAGGAATGTTCAACTCTGGGAGTTGAATGCAATCATCACAGAGCAGTTTCTGAGAATGCTTCTATGTCGTTTTTAGGAGAAGATATTTCCTTTTCCAACACAGTCCTCCAAGCCCGCTAAATAGCCACTTGCACATTGTAGAAAAAGTGTGTCAAAGCTGCGCTATCAAAGGGAAAGTTCAACTCTGTCAGGTGAATGCAAACATCACAAAGCAGTTTCTGAGAATGCTTCCGTTTAGCTTTTAGGTGAAGATTATCCCGTTTCCAACGAAACCTTCAAAGAGGTCCAAATATCCCCTTGCGGATCCCACAGAAAGAGTGTTTCGAAACTGCTGTTTCAAAAGGAATCTTCAACTCTGTGAGTTGAATGCAATCATCACAAAGAAGTTTCTGACAATGCTTCCCTCTCGTCTTTCTGTGAAGATAAAGGAAAAGGCTTTCAGGCCTTTTCCACCACAGGCCTGAAAGCGCTCCAAATGTCCACTTGCAGATTCTGCCAAAAGAATATTTCAAAACTGCTCTATGAAAAGCAATGTTAAACTCTGTGGCTCGAACACAAACATCACAAAGCAGTTTCTGAGAATGCTTCAGTTTAGTTTTTCTGTGGAAATATTCCCGTTTCCAAAGAAATCTTCAAAGAGGTCCACGTATCCACTTACAGATTCTACAAAAAGACAGTTTCAAAACTGCTCCATCAAAAGGAGGGTTCAACTGTGTGACTTGAATGCAATCATCACTCAGAAGTTTCTGAGAATGCTTCTCTTTAGTTTTTACGTGAACATATACCCGTTTCGAACGAAGGCCACCCAGTGGTCCAAATATCCACTTGCAGATTCTACAGAAAGAGTGTTTCGAACCTGAACTCTCAAAGGCAGGTTCATCTCTGCGAGTTCAATGCATTCATCATGAAGAACTTTCTCAGAGTGTTTGTGTTTAGGTATGGGAAATTATTGCCGTTTCCAACGAAATCCTCAGAGAGGTCCAAATATCCACCTGCAGATTCTACCAAAAGTGTATTTGGAAACTGCTCCATCAAAAGGCATGTTCAGCTCTGTGAGTGAAACTCCATCATCACAAAGAATATTCTGAGAATGCTTCCGTTTGCCTTTTATATGAAGTTCCTTCCTATACGACCGTAGGCCTCAAAGCAGTCCAAATCTCCATTTGCAGATTCTACAAAAAGAGTGATTCCAATCTGCTCTATCAATAGGATTGTTCAACTCCATGAGTTGAATGCCATCCTCACAAAGTCGTTTCTGAGAATGCTTCTATCTAGTTTTTATGTGAAGATATTTCCTTTTCCACCACAGGCCTCAAAGCCTTCCAAACGTCCACTTGCAGATTCTCGAAAAAGAGTGTTTCATAGCTGCTCTTTCAAAAGGAAAGTTCAACTCTGGGAGTTGAATACAAACATCACAAAGTAGTTTCCGAGAATGCTTCTGTTTAGTTCTTATGTGAAGATGATCCCGTTTCCAGTGAAATCTTCAAAGAGGTCCACATATGCCCTTGCAGATTCCAAAGAAAGTGGGTTTCAAAACTGCTCCATCAAAAGGATTGCTCAACTCTGTGAGTAGAATGCAGTCATCGCAGAAAACTTTCTGAGAATGCTTCTGTCTAGGTTTGATGTGAAGATATAGACGTTTCAAACGAAGGCTACAAAGTGGTCAAAATATACACTTGCAGATTCTACTACAAGGGTGTTGCAAACCTGAACTATCAAAGGAAGGTTCAACTCTGTGAGTTGAATACAAACATCACAAAGAATGTTCTGAGTTTGCTTCCGTTCACTTATGGGAAGTTGATCCCGTTTCCAACGAAATCCTCAGAGAGGTCCAAATATCCCCTTGCAGATTCTGCAAAACGTGTGTTTGGAAACTGCTCCATCATAACGAATGTTCAGCTCTCTGAGTTAAACTCCATCGTCACAAAGAATTTTCTGAGAGTGCTACCGTCTAGTTTTTATATGAAGTTCTTTCCTTTACTACCACAGGCCTCAAAGCGGTCCAAATCTCCACTTGCAGATTCTACAAAAAGAGTGTTTGCAAACTGCTCTATCAAAAGGAATGTTCAACTCTGGGAGTTGAATGCAATCATCACAGAGCAGTTCCTGAGAATGCTTCTATGTTGTTTTTAGGAGAAGATATTTCCTTTTCCAACACAGTCCTCCAAGCCCGCTAAATATCCACTTGCACATTGTAGAAAAAGTGGGTCGAAGCTGCGCTATCAAAGGGAAAGTTCAACTCTGTGAGGTGAATGCAAACATCCCAAAGAAGTTTCTGAGAATGCTTCCGTTTAGCTTTTAGGTGAAGATTATCCCGTTTCCAACGAAACCTTCAAAGAGGTCCAAATATCCCCTTGCGGATCCCACAGAAAGAGTGTTTCGAAACTGCTGTTTCAAAAGGAATCTTCAACTCTGTGAGTTGAATGCAATCATCACAAAGAAGTTTCTGACAATGCTTCTCTCTCGTCTTTCTGTGAAGATAAAGGAAAAGGCTTTCAGGTCTTTTCCACCACAGGCCTGAAAGCGCTCCAAATGTCCACTTGCAGATTCTGCCAAAAGAATATTTCAAAACTGCTCTATGAAAAGCAATGTTAAACTCTGCGGCTCGAACACAAACATCACAAAACAGTTTCTGAGAATGCTTCAGTTTAGTTTTTCTGTGGAAATATTCCCGTTTCCAAAGAAATCTTCAAAGAGGTCCACGTATCCACTTACAGATTCTACAAAAAGACAGTTTCAAAACTGCTCAATCAAAAGGAGGGTTCAACTGTGTGACTTGAATGCAATCATCACTCAGAAGTTTCTGAGAATGCTTCTCTTTAGTTTTTACGTGAACATATACCCGTTTCGAACGAAGGCCACCCAGTGGTCCAAATATCCACTTGCAGATTCTACAGAAAGAGTGTTTCGAACCTGAACTCTCAAAGGCAGGTTCATCTCTGCGAGTTAAATGCATTCATCATGAAGAACTTTCTCAGAGTGTTTGTGTTTAGTTATGGGAAATTATTCCCTTTCCCAAAGAAATCCTCAGAGAGGTCCAAATGTCCACCTGCAGATTCTACCAAAAGTGTATTTGGAAACTGCTCCATCAACAGGCATGTTCAGCTCTGTGAGTGAAACTCCATCATCACAAAGAATATTCTGAGAATGCTTCCGTTTGCCTTTTATATGAAGTTCCTTCCTATACGACCGTAGGCCTCAAAGCAGTCCAAATCTCCATTTGCAGATTCTACAAAAAGAGTGATTCCAATCTGCTCTATCAATAGGATTGTTCAACTCCATGAGTTGAATGCCATCCTCACAAAGTCGTTTCTGAGAATGCTTCTATCTAGTTTTTATGTGAAGATATTTCCTTTTCCACCACAGGCCTCAAAGCCCTCCAAACGTCCACTTGCAGATTCTCGAAAAAGAGTGTTTCATAGCTGCTCTTTCAAAAGGAAAGTTCAACTCTGGGAGTTGAATACAAACATCACAAAGTAGTTTCCGAGAATGCTTCTGTTTAGTTCTTATGTGAAGATGATCCCGTTTCCAGTGAAATCTTGAAAGAGGTCCACATATCCCCTTGCAGATTCCAAAGAAAGAGGGTTTCAAAACTGCTCCATCAAAAGGATTACTCAACTCTATGAGTTGTATGCAGTCATCGCAGAAAACTTTCTGAGAATGCTTCTTTCTAGGTTTGATGTGAAGATATAGACGTTTCAAACGAAGGCTACAAAGTGGTCAAAATATACACTTGCAGATTCTACTACAAGGGTGTTGCAAACCTGAACTATCAAAGGAAGGTTCAACTCTGTGAGTTGAATACAAACATCACAAAGAATGTTCTGAGTTTGCTTCCGTTCAGTTATGGGAAGTTGATCCCGTTTCCAACGAAATCCTCAGAGAGGTCCAAATATCCCCTTGCAGATTCTGCAAAACGTGTGTTTGGAAACTGCTCCATCATAACGAATGTTCAGCTCTCTGAGTTAAACTCCATCGTCACAAAGAATTTTCTGAGAGTGCTACCGTCTAGTTTTTATATGAAGTTCTTTCCTTTACTACCACAGGCCTCAAAGCGGTCCAAATCTCCACTTGCAGATTCTACAAAAAGAGTGTTTGCAAACTGCTCTATCAAAAGGAATGTTCAACTCCTGGGAGTTGAATGCAATCATCACAGAGCAGTTTGCTGAGAATGCTTCTATGTCGTTTTTAGGAGAAGATATTTCCTTTTCCAACACAGTCCTCCAAGCCCGCTAAATAGCCACTTGCACATTGTAGAAAAAGTGTGTCAAAGCTGCGCTATCAAAGGGAAAGTTCAACTCTGTGAGGTGAATGCAAACATCCCAAAGAAGTTTCTGAGAATGCTTCCGTTTAGCTTTTAGGTGAAGATTATCCCGTTTCCAACGAAACCTTCAAAGAGGTCCAAATATCCCCTTGCGGATCCCACAGAAAGAGTGTTTCGAAACTGCTGTTTCAAAAGGAATCTTCAACTCTGTGAGTTGAATGCAATCATCACAAAGAAGTTTCTGACAATGCTTCTCTCTCGTCTTTCTGTGAAGATAAAGGAAAAGGCTTTCAGGCCTTTTCCCAACCACAGGCCTGAAAGCGCTCCAAATGTCCACTTGCAGATTCTGCCAAAAGAATATTTCAAAACTGCTCTATGAAAAGCAATGTTAAACTCTGTGGCTCGAACACAAACATCACAAAGCAGTTTCTGAGAATGCTTCAGTTTAGTTTTTCTGTGGAAATATTCCCGTTTCCAAAGAAATCTTCAAAGAGGTCCACGTATCCACTTACAGATTCTACAAAAAGACAGTTTCAAAACTGCTCCATCAAAAGGAGGGTTCAACTGTGTGACTTGAATGCAATCATCACTCAGAAGTTTCTGAGAATGCTTCTCTTTAGTTTTTACGTGAACATATACCCGTTTTGAACGAAGGCCACCCAGTGGTCCAAATATCCACTTGCAGATTCTACAGAAAGAGTGTTTCGAACCTGAACTCTCAAAGGCAGGTTCATCTCTGCGAGTTAAATGCATTCATCATGAAGAACTTTCTCAGAGTGTTTGTGTTTAGTTATGGGAAATTATTCCCGTTTCCAACGAAATCCTCAGAGAGCTCCAAATATCCACCTGCAGTTTCTACCAAAAGTGTAGTTGGAAACTGCTCCATCAAAAGGCATGTTCAGCTCTGTGAGTGAAACTCCATCATCACAAAGAATATTCTGAGAATGCTTCCGTTTGCCTTTTATATGAAGTTCCTTCCTGTACTACCGTAGGCCTCAAAGCAGTCCAAATCTCCATTTGCAGATTCTACAAAAAGAGTGATTCCAATCTGCTCTATCAATAGGATTGTTCAACTCCATGAGTTGAATGCCATCCTCACAAAGTAGTTTCTGAGAATGCTTCTATCTAGTTTTTATGTGAAGATATTTCCTTTTCCACCACAGGCCTCAAAGCCCTCCAAACGTCCACTTGCAGATTCTCGAAAAAGAGTGTTTCATAGCTGCTCTTTCAAAAGGAAAGTTCAACTCTGGGAGTTGAATACAAACATCACAAAGTAGTTTCCGAGAATGCTTCTGTTTAGTTCTTATGTGAAGATGATCCCGTTTCCAGTGAAATCTTCAAAGAGGTCCACATATCCCCTTGCAGATTCCAAAGAAACAGGGTTTCAAAACTGCTCCATCAAAAGGATTGTTCAACTCTGTGAGTTGAATGCAGTCATCGCAGAAAACTTTCTGAGAATGCTTCTGTCTAGGTTTGATGTGAAGTTATAGACGTTTAAAACGAAGGCTACAAAGTGGTCAAAATATACACTTACAGATTCTACTACAAGGGTGTTGCAAACCTGAACTATCAAAGGAAGGTTCAACTCTGTGGGTTGAATACAAACATCGCAAAGAATGTTCTGAGTTTGCTTCCGTTCAGTTATGGGAAGTTGATCCCGTTTCCAACGAAATCCTCAGAGAGGTCCAAATATCCCCTTGCAGATTCTACAAAACGTGTGTTTGGAAACTGCTCCATCATAACGAATGTTCAGCTCCCTGAGTTAAACTCCATCGTCACAAAGAATTTTCTGAGAGTGCTACCGTCTGGTTTTTATATGAAGTTCTTTCCTTCACTACCACAGGCCTCAAAGCGGTCCAAATCTCCACTTGCAGATTCTACAAAAAGAGTGTTTGCAAACTGCTCTATCAAAAGGAATGTTCAACTCTGGGAGTTGAATGCAATCATCACAGAGCAGTTTCTGAGAATGCTTCTATGTCGTTTTTAGGAGAAGATATTTCCTTTTCCAACACAGTCCTCCAAGCCCGCTAAATAGCCACTTGCACATTGTAGAAAAAGTGTGTCGAAGCTGCGCTATCAAAGGGAAAGTTCAACTCTGTGAGGTGAATGCAAACATCCCAAAGAAGTTTCTGAGAATGCTTCCGTTTAGCTTTTAGGTGAAGATTATCCCGTTTCCAACAAAATCTTCAAAGAGGTCCAAATATCCCCTTGCGGATGCCACAGAAAGAGTGTTTCGAAACTGCTGTTTCAAAAGGAATCTTCAACTCTGTGAGTTGATTGCAATCATCACAAAGAAGTTTCCGACAATGCTTCTCTCTCGTCCTTCTGTGAAGATAAAGGAAAAGGCTTTCAGGCCTTTTCCACCACAGGCCTGAAAGCTCTCCAAATGTCCACTTGCAGATTCTGCCAAAAGAATATTTCAAAACTGCTCTATGAAAAGCAATGTTAAACTCTGCGGCTCGAACACAAACATCACAAAGCAGTTTCTGAGAATGCTTCAGTTTAGTTTTTCTGTGGAAATATTCCCGTTTCCAAAGAAATCTTCAAAGAGGTCCACGTATCCACTTACAGATTCTACAAAAAGACAGTTTCAAAACTGCTCCATCAAAAGGAGGGTTCAACTGTGTGACTTGAATGCAATCATCACTCAGAAGTTTCTGAGAATGCTTCTCTTTAGTTTTTACGTGAACATATACCCGTTTCGAACGAAGGCCACCCAGTGGTCCAAATATCCACTTGCAGATTATACAGAAAGAGTGTTTCGAACCTGAACTCTCAAAGGAAGGTTCATCTCTGCGAGTTAAATGCATTCATCATGAAGAACTTTCTCAGAGTGTTTGTGTTTAGTTATGGGAAATTATTCCCGTTTCCAACGAAATCCTCAGAGAGCTCCAAATATCCACCTGCAGATTCTACCAAAAGTGTATTTGGAAACTGCTCCATCAAAAGGCATGTTCAGCTCTGTGAGTGAAACTCCATCATCACAAAGAATATTCTGAGAATGCTTCCGTTTGCCTTTTATATGAAGTTCTTTCCTATACGACCGTAGGCCTCAAAGCAGTCCAAATCTCCATTTGCAGATTCTACAAAAAGAGTGATTCCAATCTGCTCTATCAATAGGATTGTTCAACTCCATGAGTTGAATGCCATCCTCACAAAGTCGTTTCTGAGAATGCTTCTATCTAGTTTTTATGTGAAGATATTTCCTTTTCCACCACAGGCCTCAAAGCCCTCCAAACGTCCACTTGCAGATTCTCGAAAAAGAGTGTTTCATAGCTGCTCTTTCAAAAGGAAAGTTCAACTCTGGGAGTTGAATACAAACATCACAAAGTAGTTTCCGAGAATGCTTCTGTTTAGTTTTTATGTGAAGATGATCCCGTTTCCAGTGAAATCTTTCAAAGAGGTCCACATATCCCCTTGCAGATTCCAAAGAAAGAGGGTTTCAAAACTGCTCCATCAGAAGGATTGTTCAACTCTGTGAGTTGAATGCAGTCATCGCAGAAAACTTTCTGAGAATGCTTCTGTCTAGGTTTGATGTGAAGATATAGACGTTTCAAACGAAGGCTACAAAGTGGTCAAAATATACACTTGCAGATTCTACTACAAGGGTGTTGCAAACCTGAACTATCAAAGGAAGGTTCAACTCTGTGAGTTGAATACAAACATCACAAAGAATGTTCTGAGTTTGCTACCGTTCAGTTATGGGAAGTTGATCCCGTTTCCAACGAAATCCTCAGAGAGGTCCAAATATCCCCTTGCAGATTCTACAAAACGTGTGTTTGGAAACTGCTCCATCATAACGAATGTTCAGCTCTCTGAGTTAAACTCCATCGTCACAAAGAATTTTCTGAGAGTGCTACCGTCTAGTTTTTATATGAAGTTCTTTCCTTTACTACCACAGGCCTCAAAGCGGTCCAAATCTCCACTTGCAGATTCTACAAAAACAGTGTTTGCAAACTGCTCTATCAAAAGGAATGTTCAACTCTGGGAGTTGAATGCAATCATCACAGAGCAGTTTCTGAGAATGCTTCTATGTCGTTTTTAGGAGAAGATATTTCCTTTTCCAACACAGTCCTCCAAGCCCGCTAAATGTCCACTTGCACACTTTAGAAAAAGTGTGTCGAAGCTGCGCTATCAAAGGGAAAGTTCAACTCTGTGAGGTGAATGCAAACATCCCAAAGAAGTTTCTGAGAATGCTTCCGTTTAGCTTTTAGGTGAAGATTATCCCGTTTCCAACGAAACCTTCAAAGAGGTCCAAATATCCCCTTGCGGATCCCACAGAAAGAGTGTTTCGAAACTGCTGTTTCAAAAGGAATCTTCAACTCTGTGAGTTGAATGCAATCATCACAAAGAAGTTTCTGACAATGCTTCTCTCTCGTCTTTCTGTGAAGATAAAGGAAAAGGCTTTCAGGCCTTTTCCACCACAGGCCTGAAAGCGCTCCAAATGTCCACTTGCAGATTCTGCCAAAAGAATATTTCAAAACTGCTCTATGAAAAGCAATGTTAAACTCTGCGGCTCAAACACAAACATCACAAAGCGGTTTCTGAGAATGCTTCAGTTTAGTTTTTCTGTGGAAATATTCCCGTTTCCAAAGAAATCTTCAAAGAGGTCCACGTATCCACTTACAGATTCTACAAAAAGACAGTTTCAAAACTGCTCCATCAAAAGGAGGGTTCAACTGTGTGACTTGAATGCAATCATCACTCAGAAGTTTCTGAGAATGCTTCTCTTTAGTTTTTACGTGAACATATACCCGTTTCGAACGAAGGCCACCCAGTGGTCCAAATATCCACTTGCAGATTCTACAGAAAGAGTGTTTCGAACCTGAACTCTCAAAGGCAGGTTCATCTCTGCGAGTTAAATGCATTCATCATGAAGAACTTTCTCAGAGTGTTTGTGTTTAGTTATGGGAAATTATTCCCGTTTCCAACGAAATCCTCAGAGTGGTCCAAATATCCACCTGCAGATTCTACCAAAAGTGTATTTGGAAACTGCTCCATCAAAAGGCATGTTCAGCTCTGTGAGTGAAACTCCATCATCACAAAGAATATTCTGAGAATGCTTCCGTTTGCCTTTTATATGAAGTTCCTTCCTATACGACCGTAGGCCTCAAAGCAGTCCAAATCTCCATTTGCAGATTCTACAAAAAGAGTGATTCCAATCTGCTCTATCAATAGGATTGTTCAACTCCATGAGTTGAATGCCATCCTCACAAAGTAGTTTCTGAGAATGCTTCTATCTAGTTTTTATGTGAAGGTATTTCCTTTTCCACCACAGGCCTCCAAGCCCTCCAAACGTCCACTTGCAGATTCTCGAAAAAGAGTGTTTCATAGCTGCTCTTTCAAAAGGAAAGTTCAACTCTGGGAGTTGAATACAAACATCACAAAATAGTTTCCGAGAATGCTTCTGTTTAGTTTTTATGTGAAGATGATCCCGTTTCCAGTGAAATCTTCAAAGAGGTCCACATATCCCCTTGCAGATTCCAAAGAAAGAGGGTTTAAAAACTGCTCCATCAGAAGGATTGTTCAACTCTGTGAGTTGAATGCAGTCATCGCAGAAAACTTTCTGAGAATGCTTCTGTCTAGGTTTGATGTGAAGATATAGACGTTTCAAACGAAGGCTACAAAGTGGTCAAAATATACACTTGCAGATTCTACTACAAGGGTGTTGCAAACCTGAACTATCAAAGGAAGGTTCAACTCTGTGAGTTGAATACAAACATCACAAAGAATGTTCTGAGTTTGCT
>NC_000023.11:61173271-61212316 GCF_000001405.40 Homo sapiens | reverse complement strand
GAAGCATTCTCAGAAAGTTTTCTGCGATGACTGCATTCAACTCACAGAGTTGAACAATCCTTTTGATGGAGCCCCCTCCTCTCCTTTCCTTTCCTTTTAGTAGGGATAGGTTCTTGCTCATTTGCCCATGCTAGAGTACAGTGGCGCCATCATAGCTCACTGCAGCCACGAACTTCTGGGCTCAAGTGATCCTCCCACCTAAGCCTCCCGAAGCACTGGGATTAGAGGTGTGAGCCACCGTACCCAGTCTGTCTAGGTTTGATGTGAAGATATAGACGTTTCAAACGAAGGCTACAAAGTGGTCAAAATATACACTTGCAGATTCTACTACAAGGGTGTTGCAAACCTGAACTATCAAAGGAAGGTTCAACTCTGTGAGTTGAATACAAACATCACAAAGAATGTTCTGAGTTTGCTTCCGTTCAGTTATGGGAAGTTGATCCCGTTTCCAACGAAATCCTCAGAGAGGTCCAAATATCCCCTCGCAGATTCTACAAAACGTGTGTTTGGAAACTGCTCCATCATAAGGAATGTTCAGCTCCCTGAGTTAAACTCCATCGTCACAAAGAATTTTCTGAGAGTGCTACCGTCTGGTTTTTATATGAAGTTCTTTCCTTCCCTACCACAGGCCTCAAAGCGGTCCAAATCTCCACTTGCAGATTCTACAAAAAGAGTGTTTGCAAACTGCTCTATCAAAAGGAATGTTCAACTCTGGGAGTTGAATGCAATCATCACAGAGCAGTTTCTGAGAATGCTTCTATGTCGTTTTTAGGAGAAGATATTTCGTTTTCCAACACAGTCCTCCAAGCCCGCTAAATAGCCACTTGCACATTGTAGAAAAAGTGTGTCAAAGCTGCGCTATCAAAGGGAAAGTTCAACTCTGTGAGGTGAATGCAAACATCCCAAAGAAGTTTCTGAGAATGCTTCCGTTTAGCTTTTAGGTGAAGATTATCCCGTTTCCAACGAAACCTTCAAAGAGGTCCAAATATCCCCTTGCGGATCCCACAGAAAGAGTGTTTCGAAACTGCTGTTTCAAAAGGAATCTTCAACTCTGTGAGTTGAATGCAATCATCACAAAGAAGTTTCTGACAATGCTTCTCTCTCGTCTTTCTGTGAAGATAAAGGAAAAGGCTTTCAGGCCTTTTCCACCACAGGCCTGAAAGCGCTCCAAATGTCCACTTGCAGATTCTGCCAAAAGAATATTTCAAAACTGCTCTATGAAAAGCAATGTTAAACTCTGTGGCTCGAACACAAACATCACAAAGCAGTTTCTGAGAATGCTTCAGTTTAGTTTTTCTGTGGAAATATTCCCGTTTCCAAAGAAATATTCAAAGAGGTCCACGTATCCACTTACAGATTCTACAAAAAGACAGTTTCAAAACTGCTCCATCAAAAGGAGGGTTCAACTGTGTGACTTGAATGTAATCATCACTCAGAAGTTTCTGAGAATGCTTCTCTTTAGTTTTTACGTGAACATATACCCGTTTCGAACGAAGGCCAGCCAGTGGTCCAAATATCCACTTGCAGATTCTACAGAAAGAGTGTTTCGAACCTGAACTCTCAAAGGCAGGTTCATCTCTGCGAGTTAAATGCATTCATCATGAAGAACTTTCTCAGAGTGTTTGTGTTTAGTTATGGGAAATTATTCCCGTTTCCAACGAAATCCTCAGAGAGCTCCAAATATCCACCTGCAGATTCTACCAAAAGTGTATTTGGAAACTGCTCCATCAAAAGGCATATTCAGCTCTGTGAGTGAAACTCCATCATCACAAAGAATATTCTGAGAATGCTTCCGTTTGCCTTTTATATGAAGTTCCTTCCTATACGACCGTAGGCCTCAAAGCAGTCCAAATCTCCATTTGCAGATTCTACAAAAAGAGTGATTCCAATCTGCTCTATCAATAGGATTGTTCAACTCCATGAGTTGAATGCCATCCTCACAAAGTCGTTTCTGAGAATGCTTCTATCTAGTTTTTATGTGAAGATATTTCCTTTTCCACCACAGGCCTCAAAGCCCTCCAAACGTCCACTTGCAGATTCTCGAAAAAGAGTGTTTCATAGCTGCTCTTTCAAAAGGAAAGTTCAACTCTGGGAGTTGAATACAAACATCACAAAGTAGTTTCCGAGAATGCTTCTGTTTAGTTTTTATGTGAAGATGATCCCGTTTCCAGTGAAATCTTCAAAGAGGTCCACATATCCCCTTGCAGATTCCAAAGAAAGAGGGTTTCAAAACTGCTCCATCAGAAGGATTGTTCAACTCTGTGAGTTGAATGCAGTCATCGCAGAAAACTTTCTGAGAATGCTTCTGTCTAGGTTTGATGTGAAGATATAGACGTTTCAAACGAAGGCTACAAAGTGGTCAAAATATACATTTGCAGATTCTACTACAAGGGTGTTGCAAACCTGAACTATCAAAGGAAGGTTCAACTCTGTGAGTTGAATACAAACATCACAAAGAATGTTCTGAGTTTGCTTCCGTTCAGTTATGGGAAGTTGATCCCGTTTCCAACGAAATCCTCAGAGAGGTCCAAATATCCCCTTGCAGATTCTACAAAACGTGTGTTTGGAAACTGCTCCATCATAACGAATGTTCAGCTCCCTGAGTTAAACTCCATCGTCACAAAGAATTTTCTGAGAGTGCTACCGTCTGGTTTTTATATGAAGCTCTTTCCTTCACTACCACAGGCCTCAAAGCGGTCCAAATCTCCACTTGCAGATTCTACAAAAAGAGTGTTTGCAAACTGCTCTATCAAAAGGAATGTTCAACTCTGGGAGTTGAATGCAATCATCACAGAGCAGTTTCTGAGAATGCTTCTATGTCGTTTTTAGGAGAAGATATTTCCTTTTCCAACACAGTCCTCCAAGCCCGCTAAATAGCCACTTGCACATTGTAGAAAATGTGTGTCAAAGCTGCGCTATCAAAGGGAAAGTTCAACTCTGTGAGGTGAATGCAAACATCCCAAAGAAGTTTCTGAGAATGCTTCCGTTTAGCTTTTAGGTGAAGATTATCCCGTTTCCAACGAAACCTTCAAAGAGGTCCAAATATCCCCTTGCGGATCCCACAGAAAGAGTGTTTCGAAACTGCTGTTTCAAAAGGAATCTTCAACTCTGTGAGTTGAATGCAATCATCACAAAGAAGTTTCTGACAATGCTTCTCTCTCGTCTTTCTGTGAAGATAAAGGAAAAGGCTTTCAGGCCTTTTCCACCACAGGCCTGAAAGCGCTCCAAATGTCCACTTGCAGATTCTGCGAAAAGAATATTTCAAAACTGCTCTATGAAAAGCAATGTTAAACTCTGTGGCTCGAACACAAACATCAAAAAGCGGTTTCTGAGAATGCTTCAGTTTAGTTTTTCTGTGGAAATATTCCCGTTTCCAAAGAAATCTTCAAAGAGGTCCACGTATCCACTTACAGATTCTACAAAAAGACAGTTTCAAAACTGCTCCATCAAAAGGAGGGTTCAACTGTGTGACTTGAATGCAATCATCACTCACAAGTTTCTGAGAATGCTTCTCTTTAGTTTTTACGTGAACATATACCCGTTTCGAACGAAGGCCAGCCAGTGGTCCAAATATCCACTTGCAGATTCTACAGAAAGAGTGTTTCGAACCTGAACTCTCAAAGGCAGGTTCATCTCTGCGAGTTAAATGCATTCATCATGAAGAACTTTCTCAGAGTGTTTGTGTTTAGTTATGGGAAATTATTCCCGTTTCCAACGAAATCCTCAGAGAGGTCCAAATATCCACCTGCAGATTCTACCAAAAGTGTATTTGGAAACTGCTCCATCAAAAGGCATGTTCAGCTCTGTGAGTGAAACTCCATCATCACAAAGAATATTCTGAGAATGCTTCCGTTTGCCTTTTATATGCAGTTCCTTCCTATACGACCGTAGGCCTCAAAGCAGTCCAAATCTCCATTTGCAGATTCTACAAAAAGAGTGATTCCAATCTGCTCTATCAATAGGATTGTTCAACTCCATGAGTTGAATGCCATCCTCACAAAGTCGTTTCTAAGAATGCTTCTATCTAGTTTTTTATGTGAAGATATTTCCTTTTCCACCACAGGCCTCAAAGCCCTCCAAACGTCCACTTGCAGATTCTCGAAAAAGAGTGTTTCATAGCTGCTCTTTCAAAAGGAAAGTTCAACTCTGGGAGTTGAATACAAACATCACAAAGTAGTTTCCGAGAATGCTTCTGTTTAGTTTTTATGTGAAGATGATCCCGTTTCCAGTGAAATCTTCAAAGAGGTCCACATATCCCCTTGCAGATTCCAAAGAAAGAGGGTTTCAAAACTGCTCCATCAGAAGGATTGTTCAACTCTGTGAGTTGAATGCAGTCATCGCAGAAAACTTTCTGAGAATGCTTCTGTCTAGGTTTGATGTGAAGATATAGATGTTTCAAACGAAGGCTACAAAGTGGTCAAAATATACACTTTCAGATTCTACTACAAGGGTGTTGCAAACCTGAACTATCAAAGGAAGGTTCAACTCTGTGAGTTGAATACAAACATCACAAAGAATGTTCTGAGTTTGCTTCCGTTCAGTTATGGGAAGTTGATCCCGTTTCCAACGAAATCCTCAGAGAGGTCCAAATATCCCCTTGCAGATTCTACAAAACGTGTGTTTGGAAACTGCTCCATCATAACGAATGTTCAGCTCCCTGAGTTAAACTCCATCGTCACAAAGAATTTTCTGAGAGTGCTACCGTCTGGTTTTTATATGAAGTTCTTTCCTTCACTACCACAGGCCTCAAAGCGGTCCAAATCTCCACTTGCAGATTCTACAAAAAGAGTGTTTGCAAACTGCTCTATCAAAAGGAATGTTCAACTCTGGGAGTTGAATGCAATCATCACAGAGCAGTTTCTGAGAATGCTTCTATGTCGTTTTTAGGAGAAGATATTTCCTTTTCCAACACAGTCCTCCAAGCCCGCTAAATAGCCACTTGCACATTGTAGAAAAAGTGTGTCAAAGCTGCGCTATCAAAGGGAAAGTTGAACTCTGTGAGGTGAATGCAAACATCCCAAAGAAGTTTCTGAGAATGCTTCCGTTTAGCTTTTAGGTGAAGATTATCCCGTTTCCAACGAAACCTTCAAAGAGGTCCAAATATCCCCTTGCGGATCCCACAGAAAGAGTGTTTCGAAACTGCTGTTTCAAAAGGAATCTTCAACTCTGTGAGTTGAATGCAATCATCACAAAGAAGTTTCTGACAATGCTTCTCTCTCGTCTTTCTGTGAAGATAAAGGAAAAGGCTTTCAGGCCTTTTCCACCACAGGCCTGAAAGCGCTCCAAATGTCCACTTGCAGATTCTGTGAAAAGAATATTGCAAAACTGCTCTATGAAAAGCAATGTTAAACTCTGTGGCTCGAACACAAACATCACAAAGCAGTTTCTGAGAATGCTTCAGTTTAGTTTTTCTGTGGAAATATTCCCGTTTCCAAAGAAATCTTCAAAGAGGTCCACGTGTCCACTTACAGATTCTACAAAAAGACAGTTTCAAAACTGCTCCATCAAAAGGAGGGTTCAACTGTGTGACTTGAATGCAATCATCACTCAGAAGTTTCTGAGAATGCTTCTCTTTAGT
Source organism: Homo sapiens (assembly GCF_000001405.40). Lineage (NCBI taxonomy): Eukaryota > Metazoa > Chordata > Mammalia > Primates > Hominidae > Homo > Homo sapiens. The sequence continues at coordinate 61,206,738 of NC_000023.11, read as the reverse complement.
TTTTACGTGAACATATACCCGTTTCGAACGAAGTCCACCCAGTGGTCCAAATATCCACTTGCAGATTCTACAGAAAGAGTGTTTCGAACCTGAACTCTCAAAGGCAGGTTCATCTCTGCGAGTTAAATGCATTCATCATGAAGAACTTTCTCAGAGTGTTTGTGTTTAGTTATGGGAAATTATTCCCGTTTCCAACGAAATCCTCAGAGAGCTCCAAATATCCACCTGCAGATTCTACCAAAAGTGTATTTGGAAACTGCTCCATCAAAAGGCATGTTCAGCTCTGTGAGTGAAACTCCATCATCACAAAGAATATTCTGAGAATGCTTCCGTTTGCCTTTTATATGAAGTTCCTTCCTATACTACCGTAGGCCTCAAAGCAGTCCAAATCTCCATTTGCAGATTCTACAAAAAGAGTGATTCCAATCTGCTCTATCAATAGGATTGTTCAACTCCATGAGTTGAATGCCATCCTCACAAAGTAGTTTCTGAGAATGCTTCTATCTAGTTTTTATGTGAAGATATTTCCTTTTCCACCACAGGCCTCAAAGCCCTCAAAACGTCCACTTGCAGATTCTCGAAAAAGAGTGTTTCATAGCTGCTCTTTCAAAAGGAAAGTTCAACTCTGGGAGTTGAATACAAACATCACAAAGTAGTTTCCGAGAATGCTTCTGTTTAGTTTTTATGTGAAGATGATCCCGTTTCCAGTGAATTCTTCAAAGAGGTCCACATATCCCCTTGCAGATTCCAAAGAAAGAGGGTTTCAAAACTGCTCCATCAGAGGATTGTTCAACTCTGTGAGTTGAATGCAGTCATCGCAGAAAACTTTCTGAGAATGCTTCTGTCTAGGTTTGATGTGAAGATATAGACGTTTCAAACAAAGGCTACAAAGTGGTCAAAATATACACTTGCAGATTCTACTACAAGGGTGTTGCAAACCTGAACTATCAAAGGAAGGTTCAACTCTGTGAGTTGAATACAAACATCACAAAGAATGTTCTGAGTTTGCTTCCGTTCAGTTATGGGAAGTTGATCCCGTTTCCAACGAAATCCTCAGAGAGGTCCAAATATCCCCTCGCAGATTCTACAAAACGTGTGTTTGGAAACTGCTCCATCATAACGAATGTTCAGCTCCCTGAGTTAAACTCCATCGTCACAAAGAATTTTCTGAGAGTGCTACCGTCTGGTTTTTATATGAAGTTCTTTCCTTCACTACCACAGACCTCAAAGCGGTCCAAATCTCCACTTGCAGATTCTACAAAAAGAGTGATTCCAATCTGCTCTATCAATAGGATTGTTCAACTCCATGAGTTGAATGCCATCCTCACAAAGTAGTTTCTGAGAATGCTTCTATCTGGTTTTTGTGTGAAGATATTTCCTTTTCCACCACAGGCCTCAAAGCCCTCCAAACGTCCACTTGCAGATTCTCGAAAAAGAGTGTTTCATAGCTGCTCTTTCAAAAGGAAAGTTCAACTCTGGGAGTTGAATACAAACATCACAAAATAGTTTCCGAGAATGCTTCTGTTTAGTTTTTATGTGAAGATGATCCCGTTTCCAGTGAAATCTTCAAAGAGGTCCACATATCCCCTTGCAGATTCCAAAGAAAGAGGGTTTCAAAACTGCTCCATCAGAAGGATTGTTCAACTCTGTGAGTTGAATGCAGTCATGGCAGAAAACTTTCTGAGAATGCTTCTGTCTAGGTTTGATGTGAAGATATAGACGTTTCAAACGAAGGCTACAAAGTGGTCAAAATATACACTTGCAGATTCTACTACAAGGGTGTTGCAAACCTGAACTATCAAAGGAAGGTTCAACTCTGTGAGTTGAATACAAACGTCACAAAGAATGTTCTGAGTTTGCTTCCGTTCAGTTATGGGAAGTTGATCCCGTTTCCAACGAAATCCTCAGAGAGGTCCAAATATCCCCTTGCAGATTCTACAAAACGTGTGTTTGGAAACTGCTCCATCATAACGAATGTTCAGCTCCCTGAGTTAAACTCCATCGTCACAAAGAATTTTCTGAGAGTGCTACCGTCTGGTTTTTATATGAAGTTCTTTCCTTCACTACCACAGACCTCAAAGCGGTCCAAATCTCCACTTGCAGATTCTACAAAAAGAGTGTTTGCAAACTGCTCTATCAAAAGGAATGTTCAACTCTGGGAGTTGAATGCAATCATCACAGAGCAGTTTCTGAGAATGCTTCTATGTCGTTTTTAGGAGAAGATATTTCCTTTTCCAACACAGTCCTCCAAGCCCGCTAAATAGCCACTTGCACATTGTAGAAAAAGTGTGTCAAAGCTGCGCTATCAAAGGGAAAGTTCAACTCTGTGAGGTGAATGCAAACATCCCAAAGAAGTTTCTGAGAATGCTTCCGTTTAGCTTTTAGGTGAGGATTATCCCGTTTCCAACGAAACCTTCAAAGAGGTCCAAATATCCCCTTGCGGATCCCACAGAAAGAGTGTTTCGAAACTGCTGTTTCAAAAGGAATCTTCAACTCTGTGAGTTGAATGCAATCATCACAAAGAAGTTTCTGACAATGCTTCTCTCTCGTCTTTCTGTGAACATAAAGGAAAAGGCGTTCAGGCCTTTGCCACCACAGGCCTGAAAGCGCTCCAAATGTCCACTTGCAGATTCTGCCAAAAGAATATTTCAAAACTGCTTTGTGAAAAGCAATGTTAAACTCTGTGGCTCGAACACAAACATCACAAAGCGGTTTCTGAGAATGCTTCAGTTTAGTTTTTCTGTGGAAATATTCCCGTTTCCAAAGAAATCTTCAAAGAGGTCCACGTATCCACTTACAGATTCTACAAAAAGACAGTTTCAAAACTGCTCCATCAAAAGGAGGGTTCAACCGTGTGACTTGAATGCAATCATCACTCAGAAGTTTCTGAGAATGCTTCTCTTTAGTTTTTACGTGAACATATACCCGTTTCGAACGAAGGCCAGCCAGTGGTCCAAATATCCACTTGCAGATTCTACAGAAGGAGTGTTTCGAACCTGAACTCTCAAAGGCAGGTTCATCTCTGCGAGTTAAATGCATTCATCATGAAGAACTTTCTCAGCGTGTTTGTGTTTAGTTATGGGAAATTATTCCCGTTTCCAACGAAATCCTCAGAGAGCTCCAAATATCCACCTGCAGATTCTACCAAAAGTGTATTTGGAAACTGCTCCATCAAAAGGCATGTTCAGCTCTGTGAGTGAAACTCCATCATCATAAAGAATATTCTTAGAATGCTTCCGTTTGCCTTTTATATGAAGTTCCTTCCTATACGACCGTAGGCCTCAAAGCAGTCCAAATCTCCATTTGCAGATTCTACAAAAAGAGTGACTCCAATCTGCTCTATCAATAGGATTGTTCAACTCCATGAGTTGAATGCCATCCTCACAAAGTCGTTTCTGAGAATGCTTCTATCTAGTTTTTATGTGAAGATATTTCCTTTTCCACCACAGGCCTCAAAGCCCTCCAAGCGTCCACTTGCAGATTCTCGAAAAAGAGTGTTTCATAGCTGCTCTTTCAAAAGGAAAGTTCAACTCTGGCAGTTGAATACAAACATCACAAAGTAGTTTCCGAGAATGCTTCAGTTTAGTTTTTATGTGAAGATGATCCCGTTTCCAGTGAAATCTTCAAAGAGGTCCACATATCCCCTTGAAGATTCCAAAGAAAGAGGGTTTCAAAACTGCTCCATCAGAAGGATTGTTCAACTCTGTGAGTTGAATGCAGTCATCGCAGAAAACTTTCTGAGAATGCTTCTGTCTAGGTTTGATGTGAAGATATAGACGTTTCAAATGAAGGCTACAAAGTGGTCAAAATATACACTTGCAGATTCTACTACAAGGGTGTTGCAAACCTGAACTATCAAAGGAAGGTTCAACTCTGTGAGTTGAATACAAACATCACAAAGAATGTTCTGAGTTTGCTTCCGTTCAGTTATGGGAAGTTGATCCCGTTTCCAACGAAATCCTCAGAGAGGTCCAAATATCCCCTTGCAGATTCTACAAAACGTGTGTTTGGAAACTGCTCCATCATAACGAATGTTCAGCTCCCTGAGTTAAACTCCATCGTCACAAAGAATTTTCTGAGAGTGCTACCGTCTGGTTTTTATATGAAGTTCTTTCCTTCACTACCACAGGCCTCAAAGCGGTCCAAATCTCCACTTGCAGATTCTACAAAAAGAGTGTTTGCAAACTGCTCTATCAAAAGGAATGTTCAACTCTGGGAGTTGAATGCAATCATCACAGAGCAGTTTCTGAGAATGCTTCTATGTCGTTTTTAGGAGAAGATATTTCCTTTTCCAACACAGTCCTCCAAGCCCGCTAAATAGCCACTTGCACATTGTAGAAAAAGTGTGTCAAAGCTGCGCTATCAAAGGGAAAGTTCAACTCTGTGAGGTGAATGCAAACATCCCAAAGAAGTTTCTGAGAATGCTTCCGTTTAGCTTTTAGGTGAAGATTATCCCGTTTCCAACGAAACCTTCAAAGAGGTCCAAATATCCCCTTGCGGATCCCACAGAAAGAGTGTTTCGAAACTGCTGTTTCAAAAGGAATGTTCAACTCTGTGAGTTGAATGCAATCATCACAAAGAAGTTTCTGACAATGCTTCTCTCTCGTCTTTCTGTGAAGATAAAGGAAAAGGCTTTCAGGCCTTTTCCACCACAGGCCTGAAAGCGCTCCAAATGTCCACTTGCAGATTCTGCGAAAAGAATATTTCAAAACTGCTCTATGAAAAGCAATGTTAAACTCTGTGGCTCGAACACAAACATCACAAAGCGGTTTCTGAGAATGCTTCAGTTTAGTTTTTCTGTGGAAATATTCCCGTTTCCAAAGAAATCTTCAAAGAGGTCCACGTATCCACTTACAGATTCTACAAAAAGACAGTTTCAAAACTGCTCCATCAAAAGGAGGGTTCAACTGTGTGACTTGAATGCAATCATCACTCAGAAGTTTCTGAGAATGCTTCTCTTTAGTTTTTACGTGAACATATACCCGTTTCGAACGAAGGCCACCCAGTGGTCCAAATATCCACTTGCAGATTATACAGAAAGAGTGTTTCGAACCTGAACTCTCAAAGGCAGGTTCATCTCTGCGAGTTAAATGCATTCATCATGAAGAACTTTCTCAGAGTGTTTGTGTTTAGTTATGGGAAATTATTCCCGTTTCCAATGAAATCCTCAGAGAGCTCCAAATATCCACCTGCAGATTCTACCAAAAGTGTATTTGGAAACTGCTCCATCAACAGGCATGTTCAGCTCTGTGAGTGAAACTCCATCATCACAAAGAACATTCTGAGAATGCTTCCGTTTGCCTTTTATATGAAGTTCCTTCCTATACGACCGTAGGCCTCAAAGCAGTCCAAATCTCCATTTGCAGATTCTACAAAAAGAGTGATTCCAATCTGCTCTATCAATAGGATTGTTCAACTCCATGAGTTGAATGCCATCCTCACAAAGTCGTTTCTGAGAATGCTTCTATCTAGTTTTTATGTGAAGATATTAACTTTTCCACCACAGGCCTCAAAGCCCTCCAAACGTCCACTTGCAGATTCTCGAAAAGGAGTGTTTCATAGCTGCTCTTTCAAAAGGAAAGTTCAACTCTGGGAGTTGAATACAAACATCACAAAGTAGTTTCCGAGAATGTTTCTGTTTAGTTTTTATGTGAAGATGATCCCGTTTCCAGTGAAATCTTCAAAGAGGTCCACATATCCCCTTGCAGATTCCAAAGAAAGAGGGTTTCAAAACTGCTCCATCAGAAGGATTGTTCAACTCTGTGAGTTGAATGCAGTCATCGCAGAAAACTTTCTGAGAATGCTTCTGTCTAGGTTTGATGTGAAGATATAGACCTTTCAAACGAAGGCTACAAAGTGGTCAAAATATACACTTGCAGATTCTACTACAAGGGTGTTGCAAACCTGAACTATCAAAGGAAGGTTCAACTCTGTGAGTTGAATACAAACATCACAAAGAATGTTCTGAGTTTGCTTCCGTTCAGTTATGGGAAGTTGATCCCGTTTCCAACGAAATCCTCAGAGAGGTCCAAATATCCCCTTGCAGATTCTACAAAACGTGTGTTTGGAAACTGCTCCATCATAACGAATGTTCAGCTCCCTGAGTTAAACTCCATCGTCACAAAGAATTTTCTGAGAGTGCTACCGTCTGGTTTTTATATGAAGCTCTTTCCTTCACTACCACAGGCCTCAAAGCGGTCCAAATCTCCACTTGCAGATTCTACAAAAAGAGTGTTTGCAAACTGCTCTATCAAAAGGAATGTTCAACTCTGGGAGTTGAATGCAATCATCACAGAGCAGTTTCTGAGAATGCTTCTATGTCGTTTTTAGGAGAAGATATTTCCTTTTCCAACACAGTCCTCCAAGCCCGCTAAAGAGCCACTTGCACATTGTAGAAAAAGTGTGTCAAAGCTGCGCTATCAAAGGGAAAGTTCAACTCTGTGAGGTGAATGCAAACATCCCAAAGAAGTTTCTGAGAATGCTTCCGTTTAGCTTTTAGGTGAAGATTATCCCGTTTCCAACGAAACCTTCAAAGAGGTCCAAATATCCCCTTGCGGATCCCACAGAAAGAGTGTTTCGAAACTGCTGTTTCAAAAGGAATCTTCAACTCTGTGAGTTGAATGCAATCATCACAAAGAAGTTTCTGACAATGCTTCTCTCTCGCCTTTCTGTGAAGATAAAGGAAAAGGCTTTCAGGCCTGTTCCACCACAGGCCTGAAAGCGCTCCAAATGTCCACTTGCAGATTCTGCGAAAAGAATATTTCAAAACTGCTCTATGAAAAGCAATGTTAAACTCTGTGGCTGGAACACAAACATCACAAAGCGGTTTCTGAGAATGTTTCAGTTTAGTTTTTCTGTGGAAATATTCCCGTTTCCAAAGAAATCTTCAAAGAGGTCCACGTATCCACTTACAGATTCTACAAAAAGACAGTTTCAAAACTGCTCCATCAAAAGGAGGGTTCAACTGTGTGACTTGAATGCAATCATCACTCAGAAGTTTCTGAGAATGCTTCTCTTTAGTTTTTACGTGAACATATACCCGTTTCGAACGAAGGCCACCCAGTGGTCCAAATATCCACTTGCAGATTCTACAGAAAGAGTGTTTCGAACCTGAACTCTCAAAGGCAGGTTCATCTCTGCGAGTTAAATGCATTCATCATGAAGAACTTTCTCAGAGTGTTTGTGTTTAGTTATGGGAAATTATTCCCGTTTCCAACGAAATCCTCAGAGAGCTCCAAATATCCACCTGCTGATTCTACCAAAAGTGTATTTGGAAACTGCTCCATCAAAAGGCATGTTCAGCTCTGTGAGTGAAACTCCATCATCACAAAGAATATTCTGAGAATGCTTCCGTTTGCCTTTTATATGAAGTTCCTTCCTGTACTACCGTAGGCCTCAAAGCAGTCCAAATCTCCATTTGCAGATTCTATGAAAAGAGTGATTCCAATCTGCTCTATCAATAGGATTGTTCAACTCCATGAGTTGAATGCCATCCTCACAAAGTAGTTTCTGAGAATGCTTCTATCTGGTTTTTGTGTGAAGATATTTCCTTTTCCACCACAGGCCTCAAAGCCCTCCAAACGTCCACTTGCAGATTCTCGAAAAAGAGTGTTTCATAGCTGCTCTTTCAAAAGGAAAGTTCAACTCTGGGAGTTGAATACAAACATCACAAAGTAGTTTCCGAGAATGCTTCTGTTTAGTTTTTATGTGAAGATGATCCCGTTTCCAGTGAAATCTTCAAAGAGGTCCACATATCCCCTTGCAGATTCCAAAGAAAGAGGGTTTCAAAACTGCTCCATCAGAAGGATTGTTCAACTCTGTGAGTTGAATGCAGTCATCGCAGAAAACTTTCTGAGAATGCTTCTGTCTAGGTTTGATGTGAAGATATAGACGTTTCAAACGAAGGCTACAAAGTGGTCAAAATATACACTTGCAGATTCTACTACAAGGGTGTTGCAAACCTGAACTATCAAAGGAAGGTTCAACTCTGTGAGTTGAATACAAACATCACAAAGAATGTTCTGAGTTTGCTTCCGTTCAGTTATGGGAAGTTGATCCCGTTTCCAACGAAATCCTCAGAGAGGTCCAAATATCCCCTTGCAGATTCTACAAAACGTGTGTTTGGAAACTGCTCCATCATAACGAATGTTCAGCTCCCTGAGTTAAACTCCATCGTCACAAAGAATTTTCTGAGAGTGCTACCGTCTGGTTTTTATATGAAGCTCTTTCCTTTACTACCCCAGTCCTCAAAGCGGTCCAAATCTCCACTTGCAGATTCTACAAAAAGAGTGTTTGCAAACTGCTCTATCAAAAGGAATGTTCAACTCTGGGAGTTGAATGCAATCATCACAGAGCAGTTTCTGAGAATGCTTCTATGTCGTTTTTAGGAGAAGATATTTCCTTTTCCAACACAGTCCTCCAAGCCCGCTAAATAGCCACTTGCACATTGTAGAAAAAGTGTGTCAAAGCTGCGCTATCAAAGGGAAAGTTCAACTCTGAGAGGTGAATGCAAACATCCCAAAGAAGTTTCTGAGAGTGCTTCCGTTTAGCTTTTAGGTGAAGATTATCCCGTTTCCAACGAAACCTTCAAAGAGGTCCAAATATCCCCTTGCGGATCCCACAGAAAGAGTGTTTCGAAACTGCTGTTTCAAAAGGAATCTTCAACTCTGTGAGTTGAATGCAATCATCACAAAGAAGTTTCTGACAATGCTTCTCTCTCGTCTTCCTGTGAAGATAAAGGAAAAGGCTTTCAGGCCTTTTCCACCACAGGCCTGAAAGCGCTCCAAATGTCCACTTGCAGATTCTGCCAAAAGAATATTTCAAAACTGCTCTATGAAAAGCAATGTTAAACTCTGTGGCTCGAACACAAACATCACAAAGCAGTTTCTGAGAATGCTTCAGTTTAGTTTTTCTGTGGAAATATTCCCGTTTCCAAAGAAATCTTCAAAGAGGTCCACGCATCCACTTACAGATTCTACAAAAAGACAGTTTCAAAACTGCTCAATCAAAAGGAGGGTTCAACTGTGTGACTTGAATGCAATCATCACTCAGAAGTTTCTGAGAACGCTTCTCTTTAGTTTTTACGTGAACATATACCCGTTTCGAACGAAGGCCAGCCAGTGGTCCAAATATCCACTTGCAGATTCTACAGAAAGAGTGTTTCGAATCTGAACTCTCAAAGGCAGGTTCATCTCTGCGAGTTCAATGCATTCATCATGAAGAACTTTCTCAGCGTGTTTGTGTTTAGTTATGGGAAATTATTCCCGTTTCCAACGAAATCCTCAGAGAGCTCCAAATATCCACCTGCAGATTCTACCAAAAGTGTATTTGGAAACTGCTCCATCAAAAGGCATGTTCAGCTCTGTGAGTGAAACTCCATCATCACACAAAATATTCTGAGAATGCTTCCGTTTGCCTTTTATATGAAGTTCCTTCCTATACTACCGTAGGCCTCAAAGCAGTCCAAATCTCCATTTGCAGATTCTACAAAAAGAGTGATTCCAATCTCCTCTATCAATAGGACTGTTCAACTCCATGAGTTGAATGCCATCCTCACAAAGTCGTTTCTGAGAATGCTTCTATTCTAGTTTTTATGTGAAGATATTTCCTTTTCCACCACAGGCCTCAAAGCCCTCCAAACGTCCACTTGCAGATTCTCGAAAAAGAGTGTTTCATAGCTGCTCTTTCAAAAGGAAAGTTCAACTCTGGGAGTTGAATACAAACATCACAAAGTAGTTTCCGAGAATGCTTCTGTTTAGTTCTTATGTGAAGATGATCCCGTTTCCAGTGAAATCTTCAAAGAGGTCCACATATCCCCTTGCAGATTCCAAAGAAAGAGGGTTTCAAAACTGCTCCATCAAAAGGATTGTTCAACTCTGTGAGTTGAATGCAGTCATCGCAGAAAACTTTCTGAGAATGCTTCTGTCTAGGTTTGATGTGAAGATATAGACGTTTCAAACGAAGGCTACAAAGTGGTCAAAATATACACTTGCAGATTCTACTACAAGGGTGATGCAAACCTCAACTATCAAAGGAAGGTTCAACTCTGTGAGATGAATGCAACCATCACAAAAAATGTTCTGAGTTTGCTTCCGTTTAGTTATGGGAAATTGATACCGTTTCCAACGAAATCCTCAGAGAGGTCCAAATATCCCCTTGCAGATTCTACAAAACGTGTGTTTGGAAACTGCTCCATCATAACGAATGTTCAGCTCTCTGAGTTAAACTCCATCGTCACAAAGAATTTTCTGAGAGTGCTACCGTCTGGTTTTTATATGAAGTTCTTCCCTTTACTACCACAGGCCTCAAAGCGGTCCAAATCTCCACTTGCAGATTCTACAAAAAGAGTGTTTGCAAACTGCTCTATCAAAAGGAATGTTCAACTCTGGGAGTTGAATGCAATCATCACAGAGCAGTTTCTGAGAATGCTTCTATGTCGTTTTTAGGAGAAGATATTTCCTTTTCCAACACAGTCCTCCAAGCCCGCTAAATATCCACTTGCACATTGTAGAAAAAGTGTGTCGAAGCTGCGCTATCAAAGGGAAAGTTCAACTCTGTGAGGTGAATGCAAACATCCCAAAGAAGTTTCTGAGAATGCTTCCGTTTAGCTTTTAGGTGAAGATTATCCCGTTTCCAACGAAATCTTCAAAGAGGTCCAAATATCCCCTTGCGGATCCCACAGAAAGAGTGTTTCGAAACTGCTGTTTCAAAAGGAATCTTCAACTCTGTGAGTTGAATGCAATCATCACAAAGAAGTTTCTGACAATGCTTCTCTCTCGTCTTTCTGTGAAGATAAAGGAAAAGGCTTTCAGGCCTTTTCCACCACAGGCCTGAAAGCGCTCCAAATGTCCACTTGCAGATTCTGCCAAAAGAATATTTCAAAACTGCTCTATGAAAAGCAATGTTAAACTCTGTGGCTCGAACACAAACATCACAAAGCAGTTTCTGAGAATGCTTCAGTTTAGTTTTTCTGTGGAAATATTCCCGTTTCCAAAGAAATCTTCAAAGAGGTCCACGCATCCACTTACAGATTCTACAAAAAGACAGTTTCAAAACTGCTCAATCAAAAGGAGGGTTCAACTGTGTGACTTGAATGCAATCATCACTCAGAAGTTTATGAGAACGCTTCTCTTTAGTTTTTACATGAACATATACCCGTTTCGAACGAAGGCCAGCCAGTGGTCCAAATATCCACTTGCTGATTCTACAGAAAGAGTGTTTCGAACCTGAACTCTCAAAGGCAGGTTCATCTCTGCGTGTTCAATGCATTCATCATGAAGAACTTTCTCAGCGTGTTTGTGTTTAGGTATGGGAAATTATTCCCGTTTCCAACGAAATTCCTCAGAGAGGTCCAAATATCCACCTGCAGATTCTACCAAAAGTGTATTTGGCAACTGCTTCATCAAAAGGCATGTTCAGCTCTGTGAGTGAAACTCCATCATCACAAAGAATATTCTGAGAATGCTTCCTTTTGCCTTTTATATGAAGTTCCTTCTTATACTACCGTAGGCCTCAAAGCAGTCCAAATCTCCATTTGCAGATTCTACAAAAAGAGTGATTCCAATCTGCTCTATCAATAGGATTGTTCAACTCCATGAGTTGAATGCCATCCTCACAAAGTCGTTTCTGAGAATGCTTCTATCTAGTTTTTATGTGAAGATATTTCCTTTTCCACCACAGGCCTCAAAGCCTTCCAAACGTCCACTTGCAGATTCTCGAAAAAGAGTGTTTCATAGCTGCTCTTTCAAAAGGAAAGTTCAACTCTGGGAGTTGAATACAAACATCACAAAGTAGTTTCCGAGAATGCTTCTGTTTAGTTTTTATGTGAAGATGATCCCGTTTCCAGTGAAATCTTCAAAGAGGTCCACATATCCCCTTGCAGATTCCAAAGAAAGAGGGTTTCAAAACTGCTCCATCAGAAGGATTGTTCAGCTCTGTGAGTTGAATGCAGTCATCGCAGAAAACTTTCTGAGAATGCTTCTGTCTAGGTTTGATGTGAAGATATAGACGTTTCAAACGAAGGCTACAAAGTGGTCAAAATATACAGTTGCAGATTCTACTACAAGGGTGTTGCAAACCTGAACTATCAAAGGAAGGTTCAACTCTGTGAGTTGAATACAAACATCACAAAGAATGTTCTGAGTTTGCTTCCGTTCAGTTATGGGAAGTTGATCCCGTTTCCAACGAAATCCTCAGAGAGGTCCAAATATCCCCTTGCAGATTCTACAAAACGTGTGTTTGGAAACTGCTCCATCATAACGAATGTTCAGCTCCCTGAGTTAAACTCCATCGTCACAAAGAATTTTCTGAGAGTGCTACCGTCTGGTTTTTATATGAAGTTCTTTCCTTCACTACCACTGGCCTCAAAGCGGTCCAAATCTCCACTTGCAGATTCTACAAAAAGAGTGTTTGCAAACTGCTCTATCAAAAGGAATGTTCAACTCTGGGAGTTGAATGCAATCATCACAGAGCAGTTTCTGAGAATGCTTCTATGTCGTTTTTAGGAGAAGATATTTCCTTTTCCAACACAGTCCTCCAAGCCCGCTAAATAGCCACTTGCACATTGTAGAAAAAGTGTGTCAAAGCTGCGCTATCAAAGGGAAAGTTCAACTCTGAGAGGTGAATGCAAACATCCCAAAGAAGTTTCTGAGAGTGCTTCCGTTTAGCTTTTAGGTGAAGATTATCCCGTTTCCAACGAAACCTTCAAAGAGGTCCAAATATCCCCTTGCGGATCCCACAGAAAGAGTGTTTCGAAACTGCTGTTTCAAAAGGAATCTTCAACTCTGTGAGTTGAATGCAATCATCACAAAGAAGTTTCTGACAATGCTTCTCTCTCGTCTTCCTGTGAAGATAAAGGAAAAGGCTTTCAGGCCTTTTCCACCACAGGCCTGAAAGCGCTCCAAATGTCCACTTGCAGATTCTGCCAAAAGAATATTTCAAAACTGCTCTATGAAAAGCAATGTTAAACTCTGTGGCTCGAACACAAACATCACAAAGCAGTTTCTGAGAATGCTTCAGTTTAGTTTTTCTGTGGAAATATTCCCGTTTCCAAAGAAATCTTCAAAGAGGTCCACGTATCCACTTACAGATTCTACAAAAAGACAGTTTCAAAACTGCTCCATCAAAAGGAGGGTTCAACTGTGTGACTTGAATGCAATCATCACTCAGAAGTTTCTGAGAATGCTTCTCTTTAGTTTTTACGTGAACATATACCCGTTTCGAACGAAGGCCACCCAGTGGTCCAAATATCCACTTGCAGATTCTACAGAAAGAGTGTTTCGAACCTGAACTCTCAAAGGCAGGTTCATCTCTGCGAGTTAAATGCATTCATCATGAAGAACTTTCTCAGAGTGTTTGTGTTTAGTTATGGGAAATTATTCCCGTTTCCAACGAAATCCTCAGAGAGCTCCAAATATCCACCTGCAGATTCTACCAAAAGTGTATTTGGAAACTGCTCCATCAAAAGGCACGTTCAGCTCTGTGAGTGAAACTCCATCATCACAAAGAATATTCTGAGAATGCTTCCGTTTGCCTTTTATATGAAGTTCCTTCCTATACGACCGTAGGCCTCAAAGCAGTCCAAATCTCCATTTGCAGATTCTACAAAAAGAGTGATTCCAATCTGCTCTATCAATAGGATTGTTCAACTCCATGAGTTGAATGCCATCCTCACAAAGTCGTTTCTGAGAATGCTTCTATCTAGTTTTTATGTGAAGATATTTCCTTTTCCACCACAGGCCTCAAAGCCCTCCAAACGTCCACTTGCAGATTCTCGAAAAAGAGTGTTTCATAGCTGCTCTTTCAAAAGGAAAGTTCAACTCTGGGAGTTGAATACAAACATCACAAAGTAGTTTCCGAGAATGCTTCTGTTTAGTTTTTATGTGAAGATGATCCCGTTTCCAGTGAAATCTTCAAAGAGGTCCACATATCCCCTTGCAGATTCCAAAGAAAGAGGGTTTCAAAACTGCTCCATCAGAAGGATTGTTCAACTCTGTGAGTTGAATGCAGTCATCGCAGAAAACTTTCTGAGAATGCTTCTGTCTAGGTTTGATGTGAAGATATAGACGTTTCAAACGAAGGCTACAAAGTGGTCAAAATATACACTTGCAGATTCTACTACAAGGGTGTTACAAACCTGAACTATCAAAGGATGGTTCAACTCTGTGAGTTGAATACAAACATCACAAAGAATGTTCTGAGTTTGCTTCCGTTCAGTTATGGGAAGTTGATCCCGTTTCCAACGAAATCCTCAGAGAGGTCCAAATATCCCCTCGCAGATTCTACAAAACGTGTTTTTGGAAACTGCTCCATCATAACGAATGTTCAGCTCCCTGAGTTAAACTCCATCGTCACAAAGAATTTTCTGAGAGTGCTACCGTCTGGTTTTTATATGAAGTTCTTTCCTTCACTACCACAGGCCTCAAAGCGGTCCAAATCTCCACTTGCAGATTCTACAAAAAGAGTGTTTGCAAACTGCTCTATCAAAAGGAATGTTCAACTCTGGGAGTTGAATGCAATCATCACAGAGCAGTTTCTGAGAATGCTTCTATGTCGTTTTTAGGAGAAGATATATCCTTTTCCAACACAGTCCTCCAAGCCCGCTATGTATCCACTTGCACATTGTAGAAAAAGTGTGTCGAAGCTGTGCTATCAAAGGGAAAGTTCAACTCTGTGAGGTGAATGCAAACATCCCAAAGAAGTTTCTGAGAATGCTTCCGTTTAGCTTTAAGTGAAGATTATTCCGTTTCCAACGAAATCTTCAAAGAGGTCCAAATATCCCCTTGCGGATCCCACAGAAAGAGTGTTTCGAAACTGCTGTTTCAAAAGGAATCTTCAACTCTGTGAGTTGAATGCAATCATCACAAAGAAGTTTCTGACAATGCTTCTCTCTCGTCTTTCTGTGAAGATAAAGGAAAAGGCTTTCAGGCCTTTTCCACCACAGGCCTGAAAGCGCTCCAAATGTCCACTTGCAGATTCTGCCAAAAGAATATTTCAAAACTGCTCTATGAAAAGCAATGTTAAACTCTGCGGCTCGAACACAAACATCACAAAGCAGTTTCTGAGAATGCTTCAGTTTAGTTTTTCTGTGGAAATATTCCCGTTTCCAAAGAAATCTTCAAAGAGGTCCACGTACCCGCTTACAGATTCTACAAAAAGACAGTTTCAAAACTGCTCAATCAAAAGGAGGGTTCAACCGTGTGACTTGAATGCAATCATCACTCAGAAGTTTCTGAGAATGCTTCTCTTTAGTTTTTACGTGAACATATACCCGTTTCGAACGAAGGCCACCCAGTGGTCCAAATATCCACTTGCAGATTCTACAGAAAGAGTGTTTCGAACCTGAACTCTCAAAGGCAGGTTCATCTCTGCGAGTTCAATGCATTCATCATGAAGAACTTTCTCAGAGTGTTTGTGTTTAGGTATGGGAAATTATTCCCGTTTCCAACGAAATCTTCAGAGAGGTCCAAATATCCACCTGCAGATTCTACCAAAAGTGTATTTGGAAACTGCTCCATCAAAAGGCATGTTCAGCTCTGTGAGTGAAACTCCATCATCACAAAGAATATTCTGAGAATGCTTCCGTTTGCCTTTTATATGAAGTTCCTTCCTATACTACCGTAGGCCTCAAAGCAGTCCAAATCTCCATTTGCAGATTCTACAAAAAGAGTGATTCCAATCTGCTCTATCAATAGGATTGTTCAACTCCATGAGTTGAATGCCATCCTCACAAAGTAGTTTCTGAGAATGCTTCTATCTAGTTTTTATGTGAAGATATTTCCTTTTCCACCACAGGCCTCAAAGCCCTCCAAACGTCCACTTGCAGATTCTCGAAAAAGAGTGTTTCATAGCTGCTCTTTCAAAAGGAAAGTTCAACTCTGGGAGTTGAATACAAACATCACAAAGTAGTTTCCGAGAATGCTTCTGTTTAGTTTTTATGTGAAGATGATCCCGTTTCCAGTGAAATCTTCAAAGAGGTCCACATATCCCCTTGCAGATTCCAAAGAAAGAGGGTTTCAAAACTGCTCCATCAGAAGGATTGTTCAACTCTGTGAGTTGAATGCAGTCATCGCAGAAAACTTTCTGAGAATGCTTCTGTCTAGGTTTGATGTGAAGATATAGACGTTTCAAACGAACGCTACAAAGTGGTCAAAATATACACTTGCAGATTCTACTACAAGGGTGATGCAAACCTGAACTATCAAAGGAAGGTTCAACTCTGTGAGTTGAATACAAACATCACAAAGAATGTTCTGAGTTTGCTTCCGTTCAGCTATGGGAAGTTGATCCCGTTTCCAACGAAATCCTCAGAGAGGTCCAAATATCCCCTTGCAGATTCTACAAAACGTGTGTTTGGAAACTGCTCCATCATAACGAATGTTCAGCTCTCTGAGTTAAACTCCATCGTCACAAAGAATTTTCTGAGGGTGCTACCGTCTAGTTTTTATATGAAGTTCTTTCCTTTACTACCACAGGCCTCAAAGCGGTCCAAATCTCCACTTGCAGATTCTACAAAAACAGTGTTTGCAAACTGCTCTATCAAAAGGAATGTTCAACTCTGGGAGTTGAATGCAATCATCACAGAGCAGTTTCTGAGAATGCTTCTATGTCGTTTTTAGGAGAAGATATTTCCTTTTCCAACACAGTCCTCCAAGCCCGCTAAATATCCACTTGCACATTGTAGAAAAAGTGTGTCGAAGCTGCGCTATCAAAGGGAAAGTTCAACTCTGTGAGGTGAATGCAAACATCCCAAAGAAGTTTCTGAGAATGCTTCCGTTTAGCTTTTAGGTGAAGATTATCCCGTTTCCAACGAAACCTTCAAAGAGGTCCAAATATCCCCTTGCGGATCCCACAGAAAGAGTGTTTCGAAACTGCTGTTTCAAAAGGAATCTTCAACTCTGTGAGTTGAATGCAATCATCACAAAGAAGTTTCTGACAATGCTTCTCTCTCGTCTTTCTGTGAAGATAAAGGAAAAGGCTTTCAGGCCTTTTCCACCACAGGCCTGAAAGCGCTCCAAATGTCCACTTGCAGATTCTGCCAAAAGAATATTTCAAAACTGCTCTATGAAAAGCAATGTTAAACTCTGTGGCTCGAACACAAACATCACAAAGCAGTTTCTGAGAATGCTTCAGTTTAGTTTTTCTGTGGAAATATTCCCGTTTCCAAAGAAATCTTCAAAGAGGTCCACGCATCCACTTACAGATTCTACAAAAAGACAGTTTAAAAACTGCTCAATCAAAAGGAGGGTTCAACTGTGTGACTTGAATGCATTCATCACTCAGAAGTTTCTGAGAACGCTTCTCTTTAGTTTTTACGTGAACATATACCCGTTTCGAATGAAGGCCAGCCAGTGGTCCAAATATCCACTTGCAGATTCTACAGAAAGAGTGTTTTGAACCTGAACTCTCAAAGGCAGGTTCATCTCTGCGAGTTAAATGCATTCATCATGAAGAACTTTCTCAGCGTGTTTGTGTTTAGTTATGGGAAATTATTCCCGTTTCCAACGAAATCCTCAGAGAGCTCCAAATATCCACCTGCAGATTGTACCAAAAGTGTATTTGGAAACTGCTCCATGAAAAGGCATGTTCAGCTCTGTGAGTGAAACTCCGTCATCACAAAGAATATTCTGAGAATGCTTCCGTTTGCCTTTTATATGAAGTTCCTTCCTATACTACCGTAGGCCTCAAAGCAGTCCAAATCTCCATTTGCAGATTCTACAAAAAGAGTGATTCCAATCTGCTCTATCAATAGGATTGTTCAACTCCATGAGTTGAATGCCATCCTCACAAAGTAGTTTCTGAGAATGCTTCTATGTAGTTTTTATGTGAAGATATTTCCTTTTCCACCACAGGCCTCAAAGCCCTCCAAACGTCCACTTGCAGATTCCCGAAAAAGAGTGTTTCATAGCTGCTCTTTCAAAAGGAAAGTTCAACTCTGGGAGTTGAATACAAACATCACAAAGTAGTTTCCGAGAATGCTTCTGTTTAGTTCTTATGTGAAGATGATCCCGTTTCCAGTGAAATCTTCAAATAGGTCCACATATCCCCTTGCAGATTCCAAAAAAAGAGGGTTTCAAAACTGCTCCATCAAAAGGATTGTTCAACTCTGTGAGTTGAATGCAGTCATCGCAGAAAACTTTCTGAGAATGCTTCTGTCTAGGTTTGATGTGAAGATATAGACGTTTCAAACGAAGGCTACAAAGTGGTCAAAATATACACTTGCAGATTCTACTACAAGGGTGATGCAAACCTCAACTATCAAAGGAAGGTTCAACTCTGTGAGATGAATGCAAACATCACAAAGAATGTTCTGAGTTTGCTTCCGTTCAGTTATGGGAAGTTGATCCCGTTTCCAACGAAATCCTCAGAGAGGTCCAAATATCCCCTCGCAGATTCTACAAAACGTGTGTTTGGAAACTGCTCCATCATAACGAATGTTCAGCTCCCGGAGTTAAACTCCATCGTCACAAAGAATTTTCTGAGAGTGCTACCGTCTGGTTTTTATATGAAGTTCTTTCCTTCACTACCACAGGCCTCAAAGCGGTCCAAATCTCCACTTGCAGATTCTACAAAAAGAGTGTTTGCAAACTGCTCTATCAAAAGGAATGTTCAACTCTGGGAGTTGAATGCAATCATCACAGAGCAGTTTCTGAGAATGCTTCTATGTCGTTTTTAGGAGAAGATATTTCCTTTTCCAACACAGTCCTCCAAGCCCGCTAAATAGCCACTTGCACATTGTAGAAAAAGTGTGTCGAAGCTGCGCTATCAAAGGGAAAGTTCAACTCTGTGAGGTGAATGCAAACATCCCAAAGAAGTTTCTGAGAATGCTTCCGTTTAGCTTTTAGGTGAGGATTATCCCGTTTCCAACGAAACCTTCAAAGAGGTCCAAATATCCCCTTGCGGATCCCACAGAAAGAGTGTTTCGAAACTGCTGTTTCAAAAGGAATCTTCAACTCTGTGAGTTGAATGCAATCATCACAAAGAAGTTTCTGACAATGCTTCTCTCTCGTCTTTCTGTGAAGATAAAGGAAAAGGCTTTCAGGCCTTTTCCACCACAGGCCTGAAAGCGCTCCAAATGTCCACTTGCAGATTCTGCGAAAAGAATATTTCAAAACTGCTCTATGAAAAGCAATGTTAAACTCTGTGGCTCGAACACAAACATCACAAAGCGGTTTCTGAGAATGCTTCAGTTTAGTTTTTCTGTGGAAATATTCCCGTTTCCAAAGAAATCTTCAAAGAGGTCCACGTATCCACTTACAGATTCTACAAAAAGACAGTTTCAAAACTGCTCCATCAAAAGGAGGGTTCAACTGTGTGACTTGAATGCAATCATCACTCAGAAGTTTCTGAGAATGCTTCTCTTTAGTTTTTACGTGAACATATACCCGTTTCGAACGAAGGCCAGCCAGTGGTCCAAATATCCACTTGCAGATTCTACAGAAAGAGTGTTTCGAACCTGAACTCTCAAAGGCAGGTTCATCTCTGCGAGTTAAATGCATTCATCATGAAGAACTTTCTCAGAGTGTTTGTGTTTAGTTATGGGAAATTATTCCCGTTTCCAACGAAATCCTCAGAGAGCTCCAAATATCCACCTGCAGATTCTACCAAAAGTGTATTTGGAAACTGCTCCATCAAAAGGCATGTTCAGCTCTGTGAGTGAAACTCCATCATCACAAAGAATATTCTGAGAATGCTTCCGTTTGCCTTTTATATGAAGTTCCTTCCTATACGACCGTAGGCCTCAAAGCAGTCCAAATCTCCATTTGCAGATTCTACAAAAAGAGTGATTCCAATCTGCTCTATCAATAGGATTGTTCAACTCCATGAGTTGAATGCCATCCTCACAAAGTAGTTTCTGAGAATGCTTCTATCTAGTTTTTATGTGAAGATATTTCCTTTTCCACCACAGGCCTCAAAGCCCTCCAAACGTCCACTTGCAGATTCTCGAAAAAGAGTGTTTCATAGCTGCTCTTTCAAAAGGAAAGTTCAACTCTGGGAGTTGAATACAAACATCACAAAGTAGTTTCCGAGAATGCTTCTGTTTAGTTTTTATGTGAAGATGATCCCGTTTCCAGTGAAATCTTCAAAGAGGTCCACATATCCCCTTGCAGATTCCAAAGAAAGAGGGTTTCAAAACTGCTCCATCAGAAGGATTGTTCAACTCTGTGAGTTGAATGCAGTCATCGCAGAAAACTTTCTGAGAATGCTTCTGTCTAGGTTTGATGTGAAGATATAGACGTTTCAAACGAAGGCTACAAAGTGGTCAAAATATACACTTGCAGATTCTACTACAAGGGTGTTGCAAACCTGAACTACCAAAGGAAGGTTCAACTCTGTGAGTTGAATACAAACATCACAAAGAATGTTCTGAGTTTGCTTCCGTTCAGTTATGGGAAGTTGATCCCGTTTCCAACGAAATCCTCAGAGAGGTCCAAATATCCCCTTGCAGATTCTACAAAACGTGTGTTTGGAAACTGCTCCATCATAACGAATGTTCAGCTCCCTGAGTTAAACTCCATCGTCACAAAGAATTTTCTGAGAGTGCTACCGTCTGGTTTTTATATGAAGCTCTTTCCTTCACTACCCCAGGCCTCAAAGCGGTCCAAATCTCCACTTGCAGATTCTACAAAAAGAGTGTTTGCAAACTGCTCTATCAAAAGGAATGTTCAACTCTGGGAGTTGAATGCAATCATCACAGAGCAGTTTCTGAGAATGCTTCTATGTCGTTTTTAGGAGAAGATATTTCCTTTTCCAACACAGTCCTCCAAGCCCGCTAAATAGCCACTTGCACATTTTAGAAAAAGTGTGTCAAAGCTGCGCTATCAAAGGGAAAGTTCAACTCTGAGAGGTGAATGCAAACATCCCAAAGAAGTTTCTGAGAGTGCTTCCGTTTAGCTTTTAGGTGAAGATTATCCCGTTTCCAACGAAACCTTCAAAGAGGTCCAAATATCCCCTTGCGGATCCCACAGAAAGAGTGTTTCGAAACTGCTGTTTCAAAAGGAATCTTCAACTCTGTGAGTTGAATGCAATCATCACAAAGAAGTTTCTGACAATGCTTCTCTCTCGTCTTTCTGTGAAGATAAAGGAAAAGGCTTTCAGGCCTTTTCCACCACAGGCCTGAAAGCGCTCCAAATGTCCACTTGCAGATTCTGCGAAAAGAATATTTCAAAACTGCTTTGTGAAAAGCAATGTTAAACTCAGTGGCTCGAACACAAACATCACAACGCGGTTTCTGAGAATGCTTCAGTTTAGTTTTTCTGTGGAAATATTCCCGTTTCCAAAGAAATCTTCAAAGAGGTCCACGCATCCACTTACAGATTCTACAAAAAGACAGTTTCAAAACTGCTCCATCAAAAGGAGGGTTCAACTGTGTGACTTGAATGCAATCATCACTCAGAAGTTTCTGAGAATGCTTCTCTTTAGTTTTTACGTGAACATATACCCGTTTCGAACGAAGGCCACCCAGTGGTCCAAATATCCACTTGCAGATTATACAGAAAGAGTGTTTCGAACCTGAACTCTCAAAGGCAGGTTCATCTCTGCGAGTTAAATGCATTCATCATGAAGAACTTTCTCAGAGTGTTTGTGTTTAGTTATGGGAAATTATTCCCGTTTCCAACGAAATCCTCAGAGAGCTCCAAATATCCACCTGCAGATTCTACCAAAAGTGTATTTGGAAACTGCTCCATCAAAAGGCATGTTCAGCTCTGTGAGTGAAACTCCATCATCACAAAGAATATTCTGAGAATGCTTCCGTTTGCCTTTTATATGAAGTTCCTTCCTGTACTACCGTAGGCCTCAAAGCAGTCCAAATCTCCATTTGCAGATACTATAAAAAGAGTGATTCCAATCTGCTCTATCAATAGGATTGTTCAACTCCATGAGTTGAATGCCATCCTCACAAAGTAGTTTCTGAGAATGCTTCTATCTGGTTTTTGTGTGAAGATATTTCCTTTTCCACCACAGGCCTCAAAGCCCTCCAAACGTCCACTTGCAGATTCTCGAAAAAGAGTGTTTCATAGCTGCTCTTTCAAAAGGAAAGTTCAACTCTGGGAGTTGAATACAAACATCACAAAATAGTTTCCGAGAATGCTTCAGTTTAGTTTTTATGTGAAGATGATCCCGTTTCCAGTGAAATCTTCAAAGAGGTCCACATATCCCCTTGCAGATTCCAAAGAAAGAGGGTTTCAAAACTGCTCCATCAGAAGGATTGTTCAACTCTGTGAGTTGAATGCAGTCATCGCAGAAAACTTTCTGAGAATGCTTCTTTCTAGGTTTGATGTGAAGATATAGATGTTTCAAACGAAGGCTACAAAGTGGTCAAAATATACACTTGCAGATTCTACTACAAGGGTGTTGCAAACCTGAACTATCAAAGGAAGGTTCAACTCTGTGAGTTGAATACAAACATCACAAAGAATGTTCTGAGTTTGCTTCCGTTCAGTTATGGGAAGTTGATCCCGTTTCCAACGAAATCCTCAGAGAGGTCCAAATATCCCCTTGCAGATTCTACAAAACGTGTGTTTGGAAACTGCTCCATCATAACGAATGTTCAGCTCCCTGAGTTAAACTCCATCGTCACAAAGAATTTTCTGAGAGTGCTACCGTCTAGTTTTTATATGAAGTTCTTTCCTTTACTACCACAGGCCTCAAAGCGGTCCAAATCTCCACTTGCAGATTCTACAAAAAGAGTGTTTGCAAACTGCTCTATCAAAAGGAATGTTCAACTCTGGGAGTTGAAAGCAATCATCACAGAGCAGTTTCTGAGAATGCTTCTATGTCGTTTTTAGGAGAAGATATTTCCGTTTCCAACACAGTCCTCCAAGCCCGCTAAATATCCACTTGCACATTGTAGAAAAAGTGTGTCGAAGCTGCGCTATCAAAGGGAAAGTTCAACTCTGTGAGGTGAATGCAAACATCCCAAAGAAGTTTCTGAGAATACTTCCGTTTAGCTTTTAGGTGAAGATTATCCCGTTTCCAACGAAATCTTCAAAGAGGTCCAAATATCCCCCTGCGGATCCCACAGAAAGAGTGTTTCGAAACTGCTGTTTCAAAAGGAATCTTCAACTCTGTGAGTTGAATGCAATCATCACAAAGAAGTTTCTGACAATGCTTCTCTCTCGTCTTTCTGTGAAGGTAAAGGAAAAGGCTTTCAGGCCTTTTCCACCACAGGCCTGAACGTGCTCCAAATGTCCACTTGCAGATTCTGCCAAAAGAATATTTCAAAACTGCTCTATGAAAAGCAATGTTAAACTCTGTGGCTCGAACACAAACATCACAAAGCCGTTTCTGAGAATGCTTCAGTTTAGTTTTTCTGTGGAAATATTCCCGTTTCCAAAGAAATCTTCAAAGAGGTCCACGCATCCACTTACAGATTCTACAAAAAGACAGTTTCAAAACTGCTCAATCAAAAGGAGGGTTCAACTGTGTGACTTGAATGCAATCATCACTCAGAAGTTTCTGAGAACGCTTCTCTTTAGTTTTTACGTGAACATATACCCGTTTCGAACGAAGGCCAGCCAGTGGTCCAAATATCCACTTGCAGATTCTACAGAAAGAGTGTTTCGAACCTGAACTCTCAAAGGCAGGTTCATCTCTGTGAGTTAAATGCATTCATCATGAAGAACTTTCTCAGCGTGTTTGTGTTTAGTTATGGGAAATTATTCCCGTTTCCAACGAAATCCTCAGAGAGCTCCAAATATCCACCTGCAGATTCTACCAAAAGTTTATTTGGAAACTGCTCCATCAAAAGGTATGTTCAGCTCTGTGAGTGAAACTCCATCATCACAAAGAATATTCTGAGAATGCTTCCGTTTGCCTTTTATATGAAGTTCCTTCCTATACTACCGTAGGCCTCAAAGCAGTCCAAATCTCCATTTGCAGATTCTACAAAAAGAGTGATTCCAATCTGCTCTATCAATAGCATTGTTCAACTCCAGGAGTTGAATGCCATCCTCACAAAGTCGTTTCTGAGAATGCTTCTATCTAGTTTTTATGTGAAGATATTTCCTTTTCCACCACAGGCCTCAAAGCCCTCCAATCGTCCACTTGCAGATTCTCGAAAAAGAGTGTTTCATAGCTGCTCTTTCAAAAGGAAAGTTCAACTCTGGGAGCTGAATACAAACATCACAAAGTAGTTTCCGAGAATGCTTCTGTTTAGTTTTTATGTGAAGATGATCCCGTTTCCAGTGAAATCTTCAAAGAGGTCCACATATCCCCTTGCAGATTCCAAAGAAAGAGGGTTTCAAAACTGCTCCATCAGAAGGATTGTTCAACTCTGTGAGTTGAATGCAGTCATCGCAGAAAACTTTCTGAGAATGCTTCTGTCTAGGTTTGATGTGAAGCATATAGACGTTTCAAACGAAGGCTACAAAGTGGTCAAAATATACACTTGCAGATTCTACTACAAGGGTGATGCAAACCTGAACTATCAAAGGAAGGTTCAACTCTGTGAGTTGAATACAAACATCACAAAGAATGTTCTGAGTTTGCTTCCGTTCAGTTATGGGAAGTTGATGCCGTTTCCAACGAAATCCTCAGAGAGGTCCAAATATCCCCTTGCAGATTCTACAAAACGTGTGTTTGGAAACTGCTCCATCATAACGAATGTTCAGCTCTCTGAGTTAAACTCCATCGTCACAAAGAATTTTCTGAGAGTGCTACCGTCTAGTTTTTATATGAAGTTCTTTCCTTTACTACCACAGGCCTCAAAGCGGTCCAAATCTCCACTTGCAGATTCTACAAAAAGAGTGTTTGCAAACTGCTCTATCAAAAGGAATGTTCAACTCTGGGAGTTGAATGCAATCATCACAGAGCAGTTTCTGAGAATGCTTCTATGTCGTTTTTAGGAGAAGATATTTCCTTTTCCAACACAGTCCTCCAAGCCCGCTAAATATCCACTTGCACATTGTAGAAAAAGTGTGTCGAAGCTGCGCTATCAAAGGGAAAGTTCAACTCTGTGAGGTGAATGCAAACATCCCAAAGAAGTTTCTGAGAATGCTTCCGTTTAGCTTTTAGGTGAAGATTATCCCGTTTCCAACGAAATCTTCAAAGAGGTCCAAATATCCCCTTGCGGATCTCACAGAAAGAGTGTTTCGAAACTGCTGTTTCAAAAGGAATCTTCAACTCTGTGAGTTGAATGCAATCATCACAAAGAAGTTTCTGACAATGCTTCTCTCTCGTCTTTCTGTGAAGATAAAGGAAAAGGCTTTCAGGCCTTTTCCACCACAGGCCTGAAAGCGCTCCAAATGTCCACTTGCAGATTCTGCCAAAAGAATATTTCAAAACTGCTCTATGAAAAGCAATGTTAAACTCTGTGGCTCGAACACAAACATCACAAAGCAGTTTCTGAGAATGCTTCAGTTTAGTTTTTCTGTGGAAATATTCCCGTTTCCAAAGAAATCTTCAAAGAGGTCCACGCATCCACTTACAGATTCTACAAAAAGACAGTTTCAAAACTGCTCAATCAAAAGGAGGGTTCAACTGTGTGACTTGAATGCAATCATCACTCAGAAGTTTATGAGAACGCTTCTCTTTAGTTTTTACATGAACATATACCCGTTTCGAACGAAGGCCAGCCAGTGGTCCAAATATCCACTTGCAGATTCTACAGAAAGAGTGTTTCGAACCTGAACTCTCAAAGGCAGGTTCATCTCTGCGAGTTCAATGCATTCATCATGAAGAACTTTCTCAGCGTGTTTGTGTTTAGTTATGGGAAATTATTCCCGTTTCCAAAGAAATCCTCAGAGAGCTCCAAATATCCACCTGCAGATTCTACCAAAAGTGTATTTGGAAACTGCTCCATCAAAAGGCATGTTCAGCTCTGTGAGTGAAACTCCATCATCACAAAGAATATAATGAGAATGCTTCCGTTTGCCTTTTATATGAAGTTCCTTCCTATACTACCGTAGGCCTCAAAGCAGTCCAAATCTCCATTTGCAGATTCTACAAAAAGAGTGATTCCAATCTGCTCTATCAATAGGATTGTTCAACTCCATGAGTTGAATGCCATCCTCACAAAGTCGTTTCTGAGAATGCTTCTATCTAGTTTTCATGTGAAGATATTTCCTTTTCCACCACAGGCCTCAAAGCCCTCCAAACGTCCACTTGCAGATTCTCGAAAAAGTGTGTTTCATAGCTGCTCTTTCAAAAGGAAAGTTCAACTCTGGGAGTTGAATACAAACATCACAAAGTAGTTTCCGAGAATGCTTCTGTTTAGTTCTTATGTGAAGATGATCCCGTTTCCAGTGAAATCTTCAAAGAGGTCCACATATCCCCTTGCAGATTCCAAAGAAAGAGGGTTTCAAAACTGCTCCATCAAAAGGAGTGTTCAACTCTGTGAGTTGAATGCAGTCATCGCAGAAAACTTTCTGAGAATGCTTCTGTCTAGGTTTGATGTGAAGATATAGACGTTTCAAACGAAGGCTACTAAGTGGTCAAAATATACACTTGCAGATTCTACTACAAGGGTGATGCAAACCTGAACTATCAAAGGAAGGTTCAACTCTGTGAGTTGAATACAAACATCACAAAGAATGTTCTGAGTTTGCTTCCGTTCAGTTATGGGAAGTTGATCCCGTTTCCAACGAAATCCTCAGAGAGGTCCAAATATCCCCTTGCAGATTCTACAAAACGTGTGTTTGGAAACTGCTCCATCATAACGAATGTTCAGCTCTCTGAGTTAAACTCCATCGTCACAAAGAATTTTCTGAGAGTGCTACCGTCTGGTTTTTATATGAAGTTCTTTCCTTTACTACCACAGGCCTCAAAGCGGTCCAAATCTCCACTTGCAGATTCTACAAAAAGAGTGTTTGCAAACTGCTCTATCAAAAGGAATGTTCAACTCTGGGAGTTGAATGCAATCATCACAGAGCAGTTTCTGAGAATGCTTCTATGTCGTTTTTAGGAGAAGATATTTCCTTTTCCAACACAGTCCTCCAAGCCCGCTAAATATCCACTTGCACATTGGAGAAAAAGTGTGTCGAAGCTGCGCTATCAAAGGGAAAGTTCAACTCTGTGAGGTGAATGCAAACATCCCAAAGAAGTTTCTGAGAATGCTTCCATTTAGCTTTTAGGTGAAGATTATCCCGTTTCCAACGAAATCTTCAAAGAGGTCCAAATATCCCCTTGCGGATCCCACAGAAAGAGTGTTTCGAAACTGCTGTTTCAAAAGGAATCTTCAACTCTGTGGGTTGAATGCAATCATCACAAAGAAGTTTCTGACAATGCTCTCTCTCGTCTTTCTGTGAAGATAAAGGAAAAGGCTTTCAGGCCTTTTCCACCACAGGCCTGAAAGCGCTCCAAATGTCCACTTGCAGATTCTGCCAAAAGAATATTTCAAAACTGCTCTATGAAAAGCAATGTTAAACTCTGCGGCTCGAACACAAACATCACAAAGCAGTTTCTGAGAATGCTTTCAGTTTAGTTTTTCTGTGGAAATATTCCCGTTTCCAAAGAAATCTTCAAAGAGGTCCACGCATCCACTTACAGATTCTACAAAAAGACAGTTTCAAAACTGCTCAATCAAAAGGAGGGTTCAACTGTGTGACTTGAATGCAATCATCACTCAGAAGTTTATGAGAACGCTTCTCTTTAGTTTTTACGTGAACATATACCCGTTTCGAATGAAGGCCAGCCAGTGGTCCAAATATCCACTTGCAGATTCTACAGAAAGAGTGTTTCGAACCTGAACTCTCAAAGGCAGGTTCATCTCTGCGAGTTCAATGCATTCATCATGAAGAACTTTCTCAGAGTGTTTGTGTTTAGTTATGGGAAATTATTCCCGTTTCCAACGAAATCCTCAGAGAGGTCCAAATATCCACCTGCAGATTCTACCAAAAGTGTATTTGGAAACTGCTCCATCAAAAGGCATGTTCAGCTCTGTGAGTGAAACTCCATCATCACAAAGAATATTCTGAGAATGCTTCCGTTTGCCTTTTATATGAAGTTCCTTCCTATACGACCGTAGGCCTCAAAGCAGTCCAAATCTCCATTTGCAGATTCTACAAAAAGAGTGATTCCAATCTGCTCTATCAATAGGATTGTTCAACTCCATGAGTTGAATGCCATCCTCACAAAGTCGTTTCTGAGAATGCTTCTATCTAGTTTTTATGTGAAGATATTTCCTTTTCCACCACAGGCCTCAAAGCCCTCCAAACGTCCACTTGCAGATTCTCGAAAAAGAGTGTTTCATAGCTGCTCTTTCAAAAGGAAAGTTCAACTCTGGGAGTTGAATACAAACATCACAAAGTAGTTTCCGAGAATGCTTCCTGTTTAGTTTTTATGTGAAGATGATCCCGTTTCCAGTGAAATCTTCAAAGAGGTCCACATATCCCCTTGCAGATTCCAAAGAAAGAGGGTTTCAAAACTGCTCCATCAGAAGGATTGTTCAACTCTGTGAGTTGAATGCAGTCATCGCAGAAAACTTTCTGAGAATGCTTCTGTCTAGGTTTGATGTGAAGATATAGACGTTTCAAACGAAGGCTACAAAGTGGTCAAAATATACACTTGCAGATTCTACTACAAGGGTGTTGCAAACCTGAACTATCAAAGGAAGGTTCAACTCTGTGAGTTGAATACAAACATCACAAAGAATGTTCTGAGTTTGCTTCCGTTCAGTTATGGGAAGTTGATCCCGTTTCCAACGAAATCCTCAGAGAGGTCCAAATATCCCCTTGCAGATTCTACAAAACGTGTGTTTGGAAACTGCTCCATCATAACGAATGTTCAGCTCCCTGAGTTAAACTCCATCGTCACAAAGAATTTTCTCAGAGTGCTACCGTCTGGTTTTTATATGAAGTTCTTTCCTTCACTACCACAGACCTCAAAGCGGTCCAAATCTCCACTTGCAGATTCTACAAAAAGAGTGATTCCAATCTGCTCTATCAATAGGATTGTTCAACTCCATGAGTTGAATGCCATCCTCACAAAGTAGTTTCTGAGAATGCTTCTATCTGGTTTTTGTGTGAAGATATTTCCTTTTCCACCACAGGCCTCAAAGCCCTCCAAACGTCCACTTGCAGATTCTCGAAAAAGAGTGTTTCATAGCTGCTCTTTCAAAAGGAAAGTTCAACTCTGGGAGTTGAATACAAACATCACAAAATAGTTTCCGAGAATGCTTCTGTTTAGTTTTTATGTGAAGATGATCCCGTTTCCAGTGAAATCTTCAAAGAGGTCCACATATCCCCTTGCAGATTCCAAAGAAAGAGGGTTTCAAAACTGCTCCATCAGAAGGATTTTTCAACTCTGTGAGTTGAATGCAGTCATCGCAGAAAACTTTCTGAGAATGCTTCTGTCTAGGTTTGATGTGAAGATATAGACGTTTCAAACGAAGGCTACAAAGTGGTCAAAATATACACTTGCAGATTCTACTACAAGGGTGTTGCAAACCTGAACTATCAAAGGAAGGTTCAACTCTGTGAGTTGAATACAAACGTCACAAAGAATGTTCTGAGTTTGCTTCCGTTCAGTTATGGGAAGTTGATCCCGTTTCCAACGAAATCCTCAGAGAGGTCCAAATATCCCCTCGCAGATTCTACAAAACGTGTGTTTGGAAACTGCTCCGTCATAACGAATGTTCAGCTCCCTGAGTTAAACTCCATCGTCACAAAGAATTTTCTGAGAGTGCTACCGTCTGGTTTTTATATGAAGTTCTGTCCTTCACTACCACAGGCCTCAAAGCGGTCCAAATCTCCACTTGCAGATTCTACAAAAAGAGTGTTTGCAAACTGCTCTATCAAAAGGAATGTTCAACTCTGGGAGTTGAATGCAATCATCACAGAGCAGTTTCTGAGAATGCTTCTATGTCGTTTTTAGGAGAAGATATTTCCTTTTCCAACACAGTCCTCCAAGCCCGCTAAATAGCCACTTGCACATTGTAGAAAAAGTGTGTCAAAGCTGTGCTATCAAAGGGAAAGTTCAACTCTGTGAGGTGAATGCAAACATCCCAAAGAAGTTTCTGAGAATGCTTCCGTTTAGCTTTTAGGTGAAGATTATCCCGTTTCCAACGAAACCTTCAAAGAGGTCCAAATATCCCCTTGCGGATCCCACAGAAAGAGTGTTTCGAAACTGCTGTTTCAAAAGGAATCTTCAACTCTGTGAGTTGAATGCAATCATCACAAAGAAGTTTCTGACAATGCTTCTCTCTCGTCTTTCTGTGAAGATAAAGGAAAAGGCTTTCAGGCCTTTGCCACCACAGGCCTGAAAGCGCTCCAAATGTCCACTTGCAGATTCTGCCAAAAGAATATTTCAAAACTGCTCTATGAAAAGCAATGTTAAACTCTGTGGCTGGAACACAAACATCACAAAGCGGTTTCTGATAATGTTTCAGTTTAGTTTTTCTGTGGAAATATTCCCGTTTCCAAAGAAATCTTCAAAGAGGTCCACGTATCCACTTACAGATTCTACAAAAAGACAGTTTCAAAACTGCTCCATCAAAAGGAGGGTTCAACTGTGTGACTTGAATGCAATCATCACTCAGAAGTTTCTGAGAATGCTTCTCTTTAGTTTTTACGTGAACATATACCCGTTTCGAACGAAGGCCACCCAGTGGTCCAAATATCCACTTGCAGATTCTACAGAAAGAGTGTTTCGAACCTGAACTCTCAAAGGCAGGTTCATCTCTGCGAGTTAAATGCATTCATCATGAAGAACTTTCTCAGAGTGTTTGTGTTTAGTTATGGGAAATTATTCCCGTTTCCAACGAAATCCTCAGAGAGCTCCAAATATCCACCTGCAGATTCTACCAAAAGCGTATTTGGAAACTGCTCCATCAAAAGGCATGTTCAGCTCTGTGAGTGAAACTCCATCATCACAAAGAATATTCTGAGAATGCTTCCGTTTGCCTTTTATATGAAGTTCCTTCCTGTACTACCGTAGGCCTCAAAGCAGTCCAAATCTCCATTTGCAGATTCTACAAAAAGAGTGATTCCAATCTGCTCTATCAATAGGATTGTTCAACTCCATGAGTTGAATGCCATCCTCACAAAGTAGTTTCTGAGAATGCTTCTATCTGGTTTTTGTGTGAAGATATTTCCTTTTCCACCACAGGCCTCAAAGCCCTCCAAACGTCCACTTGCAGATTCTCGAAAAAGAGTGTTTCATAGCTGCTCTTTCAAAAGGAAAGTTCAACTCTGGGAGTTGAATACAAACATCACAAAGTAGTTTCCGAGAATGCTTCAGTTTAGTTTTTATGTGAAGATGATCCCGTTTCCAGTGAAATCTTCAAAGAGGTCCACATATCCCCTTGAAGATTCCAAAGAAAGAGGGTTTCAAAACTGCTCCATCAGAAGGATTGTTCAACTCTGTGAGTTGAATGCAGTCATCGCAGAAAACTTTCTGAGAATGCTTCTGTCTAGGTTTGATGTGAAGATATAGATGTTTCAAACGAAGGCTACAAAGTGGTCAAAATATACACTTGCAGATTCTACTACAAGGGTGTTGCAAACCTGAACTATCAAAGGAAGGTTCAACTCTGTGAGTTGAATACAAACATCACAAAGAATGTTCTGAGTTTGCTTCCGTTCAGTTATGGGAAGTTGATCCAGTTTCCAACGAAATCCTCAGAGAGGTCCAAATATCCCCTCGCAGATTCTACAAAACGTGTGTTTGGAAACTGCTCCATCATAACGAATGTTCAGCTCCCTGAGTTAAACTCCATCGTCACAAAGAATTTTCTGAGAGTGCTACCGTCTGGTTTTTATATGAAGTTCTTTCCTTCACTACCACAGGCCTCAAAGCGGTCCAAATCTCCACTTGCAGATTCTACAAAAAGAGTGTTTGCAAACTGCTCTATCAAAAGGAATGTTCAACTCTGGGAGTTGAATGCAATCATCACAGAGCAGTTTCTGAGAATGCTTCTATGTCGTTTTTAGGAGAAGATATTTCCTTTTCCAACACAGTCCTCCAAGCCCGCTAAATAGTCACTTGCACATTGTAGAAAAAGTGTGTCAAAGCTGCGCTATCAAAGGGAAAGTTCAACTCTGTGAGGTGAATGCAAACATCCCAAAGAAGTTTCTGAGAATGCTTCCGTTTAGCTTTTAGGTGAAGATTATCCCGTTTCCAACGAAACCTTCAAAGAGGTCCAAATATCCCCTTGCGGATCCCACAGAAAGAGTGTTTCGAAACTGCTGTTTCAAAAGGAATCTTCAACTCTGTGAGTTGAATGCAATCATCACAAAGAAGTTTCTGACAATGCTTCTCTCTCGTCTTTCTGTGAAGATAAAGGAAAAGGCTTTCAGGCCTTTTCCACCACAGGCCTGAAAGCGCTCCAAATGTCCACTTGCAGATTCTGCCAAAAGAATATTTCAAAACTGCTCTATGAAAAGCAATGTTAAACTCTGTGGCTCGAACACAAACATCACAAAGCGGTTTCTGAGAATGCTTCAGTTTAGTTTTTCTGTGGAAATATTCCCGTTTCGAAAGAAATCTTCAAAGAGGTCCACGTATCCACTTACAGATTCTACAAAAAGACAGTTTCAAAACTGCTCAATCAAAAGGAGGGTTCAACCGTGTGACTTGAATGCAATCATCACTCAGAAGTTTCTGAGAACGCTTCTGTTTAGTTTTTACGTGAACATATAGCCGTTTCGAACGAAGGCCACCCAGTGGTCCAAATATCCACTTGCAGATTCTACAGAAAGAGTGTTTCGAACCTGAACTCTCAAAGGCAGGTTCATCTCTGCGAGTTCAATGCATTCATCATGAAGAACTTTCTCAGCGTGTTTGTGTTTAGTTATGGGAAATTATTCCCGTTTCCAACGAAATCCTCAGAGAGCTCCAAATATCCACCTGCAGATTCTACCAAAAGTGTATTTGGAAACTGCTCCATCAAAAGGCATGTTCAGCTCTGTGAGTGAAACTCCATCATCACAAAAATATTCTGAGAATGCTTCCGTTTGCCTTTTATATGAAGTTCCTTCCTATACTACCGTAGGCCTCAAAGCAGTCCAAATCTCCATTTGCAGATTCTACAAAAAGAGTGATTCCAATCTGCTCTATCAATAGGATTGTTCAACTCCATGAGTTGAATGCCATCCTCACAAAGTCGTTTCTGAGAATGCTTCTATCTAGTTTTTATGTGAAGATATTTCCTTTTCCACCACAGGCCTCAAAGCCCTCCAAACGTCCACTTGCAGATTCTCGAAAAAGAGTGTTTCATAGCTGCTCTTTCAAAAGGAAAGTTCAACTCTGGGAGTTGAATACAAACATCACAAAGTAGTTTCCGAGAATGCTTCTGTTTAGTTCTTATGTGAAGATGATCCCGTTTCCAGTGAAATCTTCAAAGAGGTCCACATATCCCCTTGCAGATTCCAAAGAAAGAGGGTTTCAAAACTGCTCCATCAAAAGGATTGTTCAACTCTGTGAGTTGAATGCAGTCATCGCAGAAAACTTTCTGAGAATGCTCCTCGGCCTCCCAAAGTGCTGGGATTACAGGCATGAGCTACTGTGCCTGGTCTAGCTTGTGGTATTTT